>NW_003315934.1:0-179254 GCF_000001405.40 Homo sapiens | reverse complement strand
TTTCAAAACTTTAAGTTTGGTTGAAATTCTATCCAATAAACACTTTGATTAAAGATCCACAACTGATTTTGAACAAATTGCAACAAAAATGAATAGAGGACTCATTTACAAACTAGTTCAATACATTGTAAGGCACTAGATTGATTTTCAAAGTCTTTCTTCAAAGACAAGCATTTGTAAAATGTGACTGACTTTGGACAACAAACTAAAGTGCATACTTTCATGCTTCATTTTTTTTTTTTTTTTGAGACGAAGTCTCACTCTGTCACCCAGGCTGCCATGCAGTGGCACGATCTTGGCTCACTGCAACCTCTGCCTCCTGGGTTCAAGCAATTCTCCTTTCTCAGCCTCCAGAGTAGCTAGGACTACAGGCATGCACCACCATGTCCAGCTAATTTTTTGTATTTTTAGTAGAAACAGGGTTTCACCATATTAGCCAGGCTGCTCTCAAACTCCTGACCTCAAGTGATCCACCTGCCTTGGGCTCCCAAAGTGCTGGGATTACAGGTCTGAGCCACCGGGCCTGGCCATATGTCATCATTTTTTAATTCAACATTGATTTAATCACCAAATATTTGTCCTTCAATTACTTTAGATATTTTATTAGCTCATCTTCCTCCTTCTTCATGTTATTCCTCATGATTATTCACTTATATTTACAAAAAAGGGGTATTTTGCTTAATATAGGTTATAGTCCTGGCAAACCATCTAATTTAAATTTGTTTTGGATGCCTTATTTTAAATGAAGTATTATTATTGATAGTTGAATTAAAATAAGCAGGGACTGGTTTGATATACGTCTGTTTTTTGCTTTCTGATACTGCCATAGTCAGATCTACTGATGTGGATGACACAAGCGCACTGAATAGAATTCTCATTTTAACATCTGGTTAACCCTGAAGTACACCCACTGATAAACCACCTTTCTTCCAGATCTTTTTCAAATGCTATGTAATTAACACCTCTCTTTCAATGTCAACAGGTAGAGTGCTAAGTAAACTAAAGTGTGCTCAGATATGAGTGTTAGGGACAGCTATATCTTCATGGATTATCTAGTAGTAAAGCCAAACTAATCATTTTAATAAATAAGCCATGACATTTTAGTGGCTTATCACAATACAAATATATCTCTCACTCATGTAACAGTCACTACAGATGTTCCTGGTCAGTGACTAGGTATCCTGCCCATGATGCTTCAGGAACCCAGGTTCCTGCCAGCTTATGTACCACAGTTCAAGTAGGTTCCTCTGTCACCTATGTCTAGATGATGGGATGGGATAGAGCAATTCTTAAAGGTCTTGGTCTGGAAGAAACACCCATCACTTCCACTTATATTCTGTAGCTGATTACTGGTCACAAGGCCACACAAAGGAACAAAGGAGATTTGAAAATGTAATCCTTGATTGGACAGCCATATTTCAATTACAATTCCATATTATGATGGAAAGGGTAGCATAGTTTTCAGTTGGCAACTATCACTTAATGTCATTGATTCTTAACTGCCTACATTAAACTAAAATAAATTCCAGATGGATTAATATTTAAATTTTTAAAAAGCAGATAATTATTGTATTAGTCCATTAGTGCTGTTATAACAAAATATCTAAGATCCTGTTTACAAACAACAGGAATTTATTTCTTACAATTCTGGATGGGGGAAGTCCAAAATCAAGATGTTGGCAGGTTTGGTGTCTGGAGGGCCCAGCCTTTGCTTCCAAGTTGGTGCCTTGTTGCTGCACCCTCTGGAGGGAAGGAAGGCTATGTCCTCACCTGGCGAAAGAGTGGAAGGGCAAAAGGGCCTAGCTAGTTATCTCCAGCCCTTTTATAAGGTCACTAATCCCACTCATAAGAGGTCTACCATCATGACTTAATCACCCCTAAAGACTATCACATTGGGGTTTGAGTTCCAACCTTTGAATTTTGGAGGGACACATTCATTCAAATCGCAGCAATTATAATCACAAAAAAAGAAAAATTTGTTATGACAAAAAATGGAATTCATGAAAGAAAAGTATTCATTAATTGAATTGCAAAAATAAGCCATGGCAATGAGAAAAATGAGGGGAGAGGGGAGGCTTGTAACTCAGACCACAAGAAAAGTGGTCATTTCTTTAACATATAAATCAAGAAGAAAATCCCAAAATCCAATAGGAAAACTATTGAATGGAATAGGCACGCAAAAGATATGATAGTTCACTCAAAAAGGAAAGATAAGGATACTAAGCAGTACATTCAAAATTAAACCAAAGTAAGATGCCAGTGGCACAAACCACTTTGCTGACATTGTAGGATAGGCTGTGGCAAATTCATATATTGCTTATGAGGGTATAAATCAATACAACTTCTTTGGATTTTAATTTCTCAATAGCTCTAAAAATTTAAAAGAACCTATCCTTTGGCCTAGTGAATCCACTCTAAAGAATTATCTCTCACAGATATGGTTGCTGTGTACAGGTTAAAATATGATATTTATTTACTGAGCACTGTTTATAAAAGCAAATGACTAAACAATGTATGGGTCCATCAGTAAAATTCTGGCTAAATTATGTTTCATCCATACATTGGAAAAGTATAGAGCAGTTCAAAAAAATAAGATAAATCCATATGCACTGACATGTTCAAATCTTCTGCCACTGTAGATGAAAAATGTGATCTACATAACATGAATAGTGAAGTAGTATTTATGAAAAAGGTATATTTGCTATATCTTTGATATGCATGTATATGCATAGAAAGGGTTTGCAAGGATGTAGACCCACTTTTTAACACTTCTTTTAAGAGGAATGGGAGTGAAAGATTTTGATTTTTTTTTCCCCACTTTTCATTCTATGCATTTACTTCTTTTTACTAGGAGAATGTATGTACATGTTACACTTGTGGACAGAAAATAAAAATAATAACTAAGTCAAGTGTGTCAGATTCATAAAAGTCTTACTTGAAACTGTTACTGGGTGAATGCCAAGAAAGGTAAAATCTGTCACTCAGGACACGTGGAATTTCTGTGCCATTTGTGTGCATGGAAGAAACACCCACATTCTCCCAATAAATTGCGAGTCCATAGGATAGGCACGCATTTGATGGCCTTGAAGAAGCGTTCCTTGTATGTGCAGAACCCCTGAGAAACCAGGCACGCCACAAACACATTTCAGATTAGTTGGGCGACGGGGCAAACCACGTGCTCCCAACGCAGCCTCCGCTTCCGGAGCGCGGCTGGAGGGCAAACTCCCCTAGAATTTCTCCAGGAAACCGTTGGGTGGGGCCAGGAGAGCGTTGGGTGGGGCCAGGAAACCGTCTGGTGGGATCTCCGCAGCTGCTTTTCACCTGCTGTTCCTCCTGCGCTTCCTAAGAGGAAGAATCAATGCCGTGGGTGGAGCCCAAGCCCAGGCCGGGGCCGGAGCAGAAGCCCAAGCTCACCAAACCGGACTCTGCCACCGGGCCGCAGTGGTACCAGGAATCTCAGGAATCGGAGTCGGAAGGCAAGCAGCCACCCCCGGGACCCCTGGCACCCCCGAAATCCCCCGAACCCTCAGGACCCCTGGCGTCGGAGCAGGATGCACCCCTGCCAGAGGGGGACGATGCACCCCCCCGGCCGTCGATGCTGGACGATGCACCCCGCCTGCCGCTGGAGCTGGACGATGCACCCCTGCCGGAGGAGGAAACCCCCGAACCCACGGCCATCTGCAGGCACCGGCACCGCTGTCACACCGACTGCCTAGAGGGGCTGCTGTCCCGCACCTTCCAGTGGCTGGGGTGGCAGGTGGGCGCGCACCCCTGGATCTTCCTGCTGGCGCCCTTGATGCTGACAGCCGCGCTGGGCACCGGCTTCCTGTACCTACCCAAGGACGAAGAGGAAGACCTAGAGGAGCATTACACCCCTGTGGGGAGCCCGGCCAAGGCGGAGCGGCGCTTCGTGCAGGGCCATTTCACCACCAACGACTCCTACCGCTTCTCCGCCTCCAGGAGGAGCACCGAAGCCAATTTCGTCTCGCTTCTGGTGGTCTCCTACAGCGACTCACTGCTGGACCCAGCTACCTTTGCAGAAGTCAGCAAACTGGACGGCGCGGTGCAGGATCTGCGCGTGGCGCGGGAAAAGGGAAGCCAGATCCAGTACCAGCAGGTGTGCGCGAGGTACAGGGCGCTCTGCGTGCCCCCCAACCCGATCCTGTACGCCTGGCAGGTGAACAAAACGCTCAACCTGAGCAGCATCTCCTTCCCCGCCTACAACCACGGCAGGCATCCCCTCTACCTGACCGGCTTCTTCGGAGGATACATCTTGGGGGGCAGCCTAGGAATGGGCCAGTTACTCCTGCGGGCCAAAGCCATGCGGCTGCTGTACTACCTGAAGACCGAGGACCCTGAGTACGACGTGCAGAGCAAGCAGTGGCTCACCCATTTGCTCGATCAATTTACCAACATTAAGAACATCTTGGCCTTGAAAAAAATTGAGGTACCTGGTGGTGTGGGTTTACAGGGAGGCCAGGAGAAGGTGAGAGGGATGAGGAAGACTTGCTCCCCAGAATCGTAACAAAAGCACTTCCTGACTACTTTACGGGGCCCTTGCCTCTAGGCTGGGTGTGCTCTACTGTATTTGGTACTCAACCCAATTTTCTTAACACCGACGGATGCCAGAAATTGTGAATCCTTGGTAGCATTCTAGTCGATAACACAAATCCTATGTCCACCAGATGGGCCTGTTCAGTACAGACATTGATCTTCATGTTTAATTTTGGGGTTTGGTTTCTAATCAAATTACAGTATTCTGAAATTCTACTTTTAGTTAAAGTCTTCACTGGTTTGGGGGAACCCCTAAAACTTGCTTGGAGCTCATTGGGATTAAAAAACAAACCGTCTTTTAAGTAAAAGTTCCATAGCCTTAAGAAGATAACTAGCTTAGCATTTTTCAAGTTAGATACATACGAAGCAGCACCTGGCTTAGTGTGAGGTACATATTAGCTGTTCAGTTATTGGTGGATCTGCAACACTATTCAGATGTATAAATAAGCCTAGTGAAAGAGACACCTGCTGGAAAGAGCTTTCAAAGACCAGGCCCTCCTGAAATATTTATGCAACTGAAATAGTAAAAGACACTAACCTAATACAAATTTAGAAAAAGTTACAATTTCTGCAGCTATTAATGAGAACAAGATTAAACAGTTTTAGGCTGGGTGTGGTGGCTCACGCCTATAATCCCAGCATTTTGGGACACCAAGGCAGGTAGACTGCTTGAGTCCAGGGGTTCAAGACCAGCCTCGGCAACCTGGCAAAACCCCATCTCTACAAAAATTACAAAAGTTAGCCAGTCGTGGTGGTGCACACCTGTAGTCCCAGCTATTCGTAAGGCCAAGGCAGGAGGATGACTTGAGCCCAGGAGGTTGAGGGCCCTGTCTCAAAAAAAAAAAAGATTTCAAAGTTTTATATAAAATTCAGATTTTGTTTATTCAGGAGTTTTATTTAAACTTTGAATTTGAAAGAAACTTGGGGAATCCATAGATGTGTGGAAAGAAGCAAATCTACATTATTTTCTCTATTCTGAAGTCATAATCCATGTATTTTTATCTTTTGCTGAATTTTAACATACATATTGTTTCATCACTAAGATAAAGTGTTTCAATAGTTTTTGTAACTCACACACAAATATTGTAATTAAAAGCTATTTATCTGAGTATATTTTTGTGGCAGGTAGTCCACTTTACATCGCTTTCCAGACAACTGGAATTTGAGGCAACTTCTGTGACTGTGATCCCTGTGTTTCACCTGGCATACATTCTCATCATTCTGTTTGCAGTCACATCATGCTTTAGGTAAAAAGCTTTGATTAGTTTTTAAATCTCTTACTTTATGAAAAATACTTTATTGTGGTAAAATATAATAATATATATGACATAACATATGATGTTATAGCCACTCTTAAGTGTAAAATTCGGTGGCATTAATTACATCCACATTGGCATGCAACCATCACAATGATCTGTTTTCAAATATTTTGCATCATCCCAAACAAGAACTCTGTTAACATTTTGCAATAAATTCCCCATCACCACCACCACCCCCAACCCAGTGCCAGTTAACTTTAATCTACTTTGTCTCTGTGAATTTTCCTCAAGATTTCATATAGTGGAATCATATATTTATCTTTTTGTGACTGGCTCATTTCACTAGGCATAATATTTTCAAGGTTCATCCTTGTAGCGTGTATCAGAACTCCATTGCTTTTTATGGCTGAATAATACTGATTCCTTCAACTTTGTTGTTCTTCAAGATTATATAGATCATCCTAGACTCCTTGCAATTCCATATGAATTTTAGAATCAGCTTCTCTATTTCTGGGGGGGAAATGGTTGTTGGAATTTTGATGGGGATTGTGTTGAATCTGCAGATTGTTTTGAGTAGGACTGGCATTTTAAAAATATTGAGTCTGCCAACCCAGGAACTAAGGATCTTTCCATTTATCCAGGTCTTTTTAAGTTTCTTTTACCAATGTTTGCTGGTTTTCGGTGTGCAGATCCTTCACCTCCTTGGTTAAAATTATTCTTAGGTGTTTCATTCATTTAGAGCTATTTAAATAGAATTGCTTTCTTAATTTCCTTTTTGGGTTGTTCACTGCCTATGTATAGAAACACAACTAATTTTTTGGTGTTGCTCTTATATCCTGAAGCTGCGCTGAATTTGTTAACTCTAGTAGTTTTCTTCTGGATTCTTTGGTATTTTTCATATATACAATCATGTGATCTCTGAGGAGGGAGAGTTATATTTCTTCCCTTCCAATTTAGATGCTTTTTATTTTTTTTTTAATCTAATTGCTCTGGCTAGAACTTCCAGTACAACATCGCATATCAATGGGGAAAGTGGGAGTCTTTTCTGTCTTGTTTCTGATCTGATCTGATCTTAGAGGAAAGCTTTCATTCTTTCACCCTTGAGTATGATGTTAGTTTTACTATTTTTATAAATGCCTTTATTATTTTGAGGAATTTTCCTTCATATTCCTAGTTTTTTAGTGTTTTTATTATGAAAGGGTATTGGATTTTGTCAAGTGCCTTTTAAACATCTAGTGAGATGAACATGTGGTTATTGTCCTTTGTTCTATAAATATGGTATGTTACATTGACTGACTTTCTCCCGATGACCTTTCTGGGATAAATCCCAGCTGGCTATGATGTATAATCCTTTTAATACGTTTTGGATTGGACTTACTAGTATTTGTTTATGACTTTTGCACCTATATTCATGAGAGCTATTGGTTTGTAGTTTTCTTTTCTTATGATGTCATTGTCTGGTATTGTGTCAGTGTAATGATGGTCTCCCAGAGTGAGTTAGGAAATATTTCCTCGTCTTCAATTTTTTGGAAGAGTTTGAGAAGGATTCCTGTTACCTCCACTTTAGATGTTTGGTAGAATTCATCAGTGAAATCTGGTCCTGGACTTTTCTTTATTGGGAGTTTTTTTATTACTGGTTTAATCTTTTGTTATAGGCCTTGAGATTTTCTATTTCACCTTAAGTCAGTTTAGGTCATTTGTGTTTTTGTAGGAATTCATGCATTTCATCTAGGTTATCCAGTTTGTTGACATACAGTTTTTGATAATATTCTCTTATAAACTTTTCTATTTCTATAAGGTCAGTAGTAACGTCTCCGCTTTCATGTCAGCTTAAGTTATTTGTGTCTTCTCTTTTTCTTCGTGACACTAGGTAAAATTTAGTCAATTTTGTTGATATTTTCAAGTAACCAACTTTTGGATTGATTCATTCTATTGTTTTTCTATTCTGTATTCACCTCTGTTCTAATCTTTATTCTTTCCTTCCTTCTTCCTGTGGCCTGAATGTTTGTGTCCTCCCAAAATTCCTATGTGGAAACCTAATTCCTGGTGTGATAGTAATATGAGGTGGGGCCTTTGAGAGGTGATTAGAATGGGATTGATACTCTTAAAAATAATTCCGAGGGAGCTTATTAGCCCCTTCTACCATGTAAGGACATAGCAAGAAGGCACCATCTGTGGAGCAAAGAGCAAATCCTCACTGGACACCAAATCTTTGGCCCTGACCTTGGCTTTCTCAGCCTCTAGTACTGTAAGGAGCAATTTTCTGTTGTTTATAAGTTTCTCAGTCTAAGATATTTTGTTACAGTGGGCAGAACAGACTAACACACCTCTGTTAGCTTTGGGTTTGGTTTCCCTCCTTTCCCTAGATCCACAAGTTGTTATTGATTTGAAATCCTTTTTCTTTTTAATGTGGGTATTTAGCTATAAATTTCCCTCTGAGCACTATTATCACTGTATCTCATAAGTTATGGTATGTTGTGTGTTCATTTTCATTCTTAACTAAGTATTTTCTAATGTCTCTTGATTGTTTAATAGTGTATTGTTACATTTTTGTAGATTTGTTAATATTCCAGTTTTCCTATTATTGATTTTTAGCTTTATTCTATTGTTGGTTAGAAAAACGTACACTGTATAACTTCAATCATTTAAAATTTATTTAGACTTGTTTTACAGCTGAATGTATGATCTATCCTGGAGAATGTTCCATGGGCACTAGAGAAGAATGTATATTTTGCTGTCATTGGGTTGAGTCTTCTATATAATTCTGTAGGGTCTAATTGGTTTGTAGTGTTGTTCATTTCTCTATGTCCTTATTGATATTCTTCTCAGATGTTTCATGCATTGATGAAAGTGGTATATTGCATTCTCCAGTTTTTTTTCTTTTTTTTTTTTTTTTTTTTTTTGAGACAGAGTCTCACTCTGTCACCCAGGCAGAAGTGTAATGACACAATCTTGCCTCACTGTAACCTGTGCCTCCCAGGTTCAAGAAATTCTTCTGCTTCAGCCTCCTGAGTAGCTAGGATTACAGGTGTATATCACCATGCTCACCTGATTTTTGTATTTTTAGTAGAGATGGGGTTTCACCATGTTGACCAGGCTTGTCTCGAACTCCTGACCTCAAGTGATCCACCCACCTCAGCCTTCCAAAGTGCTGAAATTATAGGTGTAAGTCACCACGCCTAGTCCTCTCCAGCTATTATTGTAGAGCGCTCTATCTCCCCCTTCACTTCTGTCAATATTTACTTCATATATTTTGGGTATCTGTTATGCAGTACACATATGTTTACAGTTGTTATAGCTTCTTGGGGAATTGGCCCGTTTATCAATATATAATGTACTCCTTTGTCTCTAAGTCTGTTTTGCCTGATGTTAGTGTAGCCATTCCTGCTCTATTTTGGTTACTATTTGTGTAGAGTATCCTTTTATGTACTTTCAATCTACTTATATTTTTGGCAATAAAGTAAGTCTGTAAACAGCATATAGTTAGATCATGTTGTTTTATCCATTCTGCCAACCTGTCTTTTGATTGGAGAGTTTAATCTATTTACATTTAAGGTAATTGCTGACAAGAAAGAACTTGTAACATTTTTAAATTTATGTTCTATCTGTCTTATAACTTTTTTGTCCTTCATTTCCTCTATTATGCTTTCTTTTCTTCACATTTCTTTTTTCTTTTCAGACAGGGTCTTTTCCTGTTGCCCAGGCTGCTGTGGAGTGGCACAATCATAACTGACTGCAGCCTTGAACTCCTAAACTCAAGCAATCCTCCCACCTCAGCCTCCTGAGTAGCTGGAACTACAGGCACATGCCATCACATCTGGCTAATTTTTATTATTTTTTGTAGAGACAGGATCTTGCTGTGTTGCCTAGGCTGGTCTTGAACTCCTAGCCTCAAGTGATCCTCTCACCTCAACCTCCCAAAGTGGTGGGATTACACTGTGAGCCACCCCCATTGGTGCGTGCAGCATGAGCTACTATGCCTAGCCACATTTCAATTTTTTTTTTTTTTTTTGAGACGGAATCTCACTCTGTAGCCCAGGCTGGAGTGCAGTGGCACGATCTCGGCTCACTGCAAGCTCCACCTCCTGGGTTCACGCCATTCTCCTGCCTCAGCCTCCTGAGTAGCTGCGATTACAGGCGTGCGCCACCATGCCCAGCTAATTTTCATATACAATATTTTTTGAGTAAAATCTGCTCTGCCCCCTCCAGATCCAGTGAAACACTCTCACACTGGGAACTCAGGCTGTGACCACTTTATACTGCTGCTGCTTTGAGACTATGGCCGCTTTAAGAGTGTGACCACTTTAACACCCATGCCACTTTAAGACTTACTGCTTTAAGACTGCCACCATGCCAGAAAGGGGGGGCTTTTTTTTTTTTGGATTCATCATTCGCTTGGTTGCTGTAACTTTTCGACTATTTTCCAGGGTTCATAAAATTGGTTCTGACAGTTTCTGCTTGTTTTTTTTTTTTTTTGATAATTCTTTGAGAGGACAAGAGCTTTTTTTTCTGCCATTCTTCCTAACATCCAGTGCTAAACTCTTGTTTTTTAAACCTGGTGACTTTTAAAAACATTTTTTCCCATCAGCAATAGTGTCTAATCAAATGGAATAGTAAAAGAAATTGTGGCTGGTTTTGTTTGATTTGGCATATCTTTTTTACCTTACATATTGCATCAGTTATGATTAATTGTTCCATTTGGAAGGCAGATAAGTTGGTAGAACCAAGAAGCATGTCCTATTTCTGCTAATTTGAAATAGTACTTTTCACTATATAAAAAATTAAGTTCTAATTTAATTGACTTAAGTGTCTCCATCGTTCTGATGTGCAGTTTACCTTGTTAAGCACTTAAAAATTGTTCTCTAGGCATTAGGGGTAGTTTGTGTTCTTGAGTTCAAACTAAATATGAAAGATATCATCAAACAACAGAATTTAGATGTAGGAGGAACCCCATAGATTATATTCTAATTCTATTAAAATAAATAGATTATTTTACATCAGAGTCACCCAGAGAGCCATAAACCAGATATTCTCAGGCCCCGCCCTATCAAATTAAAATATCTTGGGGTTAAATCTGGAACTCTATATTTCAAAAATTTCTCTAGCTGATTCTTATGTGTAGGTAGGTTTAGGAACAAATAATATAATTTAACTATTTAGATGTAAGGAAAAGAAAGATGAAGTCTCAGTAGGTAAAGGGATGTGAAGACACTGGGGACCTCTTTAGGGTCAATGAACTACCTCATAATTTTGTTACTCTGGAAAGGAAGACCACATCACTTAGAAAACAAAGAAACTTTAAAAAGAAACAAAAAAACCCCACAAAATTCAGGCTATTAAAGTTAGTAGGATAAAGCATTTTAAAAATTCAGTCTACATGTTACCAATAATTGGTTTAACAAAACTTTTCTACTAGATAGTTGGTTTTGAAAATACAAACTCTAGTCAGTTCTTACATATCTTTACAAGTGATTTTGGACAATAATGCACAAAAATATTTTATTTAAGGGAATTGGAAAATGATTTATAGTTGTCTCCAAAGACTCTTCTATGCTTATGTAACCACCATATTGAACACAAGACTCATAAGGTATAAACATAAAGCAGTTGTATTTTTGTCTCCCTTTGTTTCCTGTAAGTTTGTAAGTTTACTAGGTAGAGCAAGTTCTTCCTCTGCCTCATGAAAATTCAGGCAATCCCTACGTTACGGTAATTCTTAGGCAAGACAAAAAGTCCTCCAGTCAGAATTAAAATGTCCATGTTCATGTTCATGTTCATGTCATAAACAAAAGTGGTAACTTGATTTGAAGCTAAGGTTTTTCCTCCTCTCCTAGCTGAAGCATGCTACATGGAATAGCCTTTAATGGGGAAAAAGGGATATTCCAGACCTCTCCTATCACTTCTCTCACTATCCATCTTGCTGAGTGGTTCACAGACTGGAGCATGCTCAAACAGTAGGAAAAATGGAATCGAAAAATTCTTAAGACATGAATGCTGCCATGACAGTCTAATATATGTCTTCTCTGGCTTTGAATATGAAACTGATCCTTCTGCAAGTATTGGTTTGTTTGGTGTTTTTTCTTTTTTGAGATGGAGTCTCACTCTGTCACCCAGCCTGGAGTGCAATGGCGCAATCTCGGCTCACTGAAACCTCTGCCTCCCAGGTTCAAGCGATTCTCCTGCCTCAGCCTCCTGAGTAGCTGGGATTACAGGCATGCACCACCACACCTGGCTTATTTTTGTATTTTTAGTAGAGGCGGGGTTTCACCATGTTGGACAGGCTGGTCTCGAACTCCCGACCTCAGGTGATCCGCCCACCTCAGTCTTCCAAAGTGCTGGGATTACAGGCGTGAGCCACCGCACCCGGCTGCCTGCAAGTGCTTTTGTAAGTTCCCTGGACACTTCTCGCTCCCTCTCTTTCCTTATCACAGAGGGTCTCATGTCCGTTCTGGGTGGAGCTTCCTAGACAGTTCTAGGACATATCCCCATTTTGCCTGTCTCACACACTCTCATATATGAAGGTTATACCTTGCATACCTGCCTTTAGCTCATTTAAGACACTTACTGAAACATATTTCAGGGTTCTATATTTATTGTCTTGCAATGAAGTCATTTAAATAAGACTTTTTCAAAAGTCTGTGCTCTAAATTGAACTCAATTATAGCTCATGCTATTTTATGTATAGTAATCCCCTGCTTTTCCACAGGAATACTATCCAAGACATACAACGGATGCCTGAAACCACAGATAGTCCTGAACTTTATTTATATCTAGCCAAAGTCTCTATAATCAATACTATACTTCACTCCCCTATCCTCTGAAAAATTCACACCTAAGAAATCCAGAAACTCAAAAGGAGGAATGGGCATAACCTTGTCATATATACCTTTTATCCTTTTATCCAAAATCTTTCTGATTTTGAAATTCATCTCTTTTACTTTCTTATCTTAAACTCCTATAAACCAATATTGTTGTTTTAAGAACGTATTATATTAGGCCGGGCACAGTGGCTCATGCCTGTAATCCCAGCACTTTGGGAGGCCGAGGCAGGCGGATCACCGGAGTTCAAGACCAGTCTGGCCAACATGGTGAGACCCCATCTCTACTAAAAATACAAAATTAGCCAGGTGTGGTGGCACATGCCTGTAATTCCAGCTACTCAGGTGGCTGAGGCAGGAGAATCACTTGAACCCGGGAGGCAGAGGTGGCAGTGAGCTAAGATTGCACCATTGCACTCCAGGCTGGGTGACAGAGTGAGACTCCAGCCTGGGCAAAAAAAGCAAAAGTCTGTCTCAAAAAAAAAAAAAAAAGAAAGAAAGAAAGAAAGAAAGAAAGAATTATAGTAAGAGATTTTATTATAACAAAGCAATTTACTTTTGCCCTGGAATTTATATGTGTATGTGTGTTGAGTTGGGGCCCCGACCTTAATTCATAGTACCAGGTTAAGAAAAAGTGAAATACAATAACAGTATAGACATTTTATTAAGAAGAAGAATTTTATCTATTTAAATGTGATCTCCCCTGCAGGTCTTCAGTCATGTTCCTGCTGTTTTGAAACCAGTGGCTCCAGTTCTTCAGCTCCTAGACTAAAATTCCAAACTTAGTTTCTCTCCCCTACTAAAATATCTGAATGCAGGTATCAGTCATTTGTTTTGAAGCAATTTCTAACAAGCAAAATCTAAAACCAGAGGTTGTTGCCAATCTTTTAAAAGGTAATGTTATGGTTGCTGAGGAGGTAAAGCACTGAATCATGCTTTAAAATATTTTGTATATAGTCCTGTTTCTGTTGGTTTGCCAAGGAAACAGGCACAGTTTGGGTCATTTAAAATATAGCACATTTTAATTTTTTCCAAATTCGTAGCAACTTTTCCACAGAGCCCACTTCACCAGTAGAGAAGAATCCTGAAAGTAACTTAAAAGACTTTCCTACTTTATGTTAACAACAATACACATTGTACTAACTTTGAAATACAGGAGGCATTTAATGTTGTGTTATGGCTAGTTAGAGACCAGGGATGGATAAAAAGATAATTGGATCTATGTTCTTTCTCTAGTACAGCTTGCTCTTCATTATCTGTTATATTCCATTCACACCCTTCTGAAGATCAGAGTGGAATTAGCCATTAGCAGTGTTTTAGTAATTCTTTGTGGTTCCAAAATGCTAGTCAGTGACTTAGTGCTTGGCTGGCTGCAAAGAATCACATATAGCAGAGTCGGTAGAAGTACAGATTTACAGATTTCTAACTTTTCTGCTCCCTTTCTTTCCTTTTTTTTTTTTCAGTTGTTCTGAGATAGTCCCTGGGAATTAAAGGTCTCCAGCAGATATGTGTGGAAATTACTGTCTTAGAGATTTATGACTAGGTGTCCAAGTCAAGAATGTTATCCATTGATGAAAGCTACCACCACAAATTCCATGATTTTTCCCTCCAAATTTACAGGTTTGACTGCATACGAAACAAAATGTGTGTTGCGGCCTTTGGAGTGATTTCTGCTTTCTTGGCAGTGGTGAGCGGCTTTGGCCTGCTGTTGCACATTGGGGTGCCATTTGTCATCATAGTTGCCAATTCACCATTTCTTATTCTAGGTGAGTAAAACAAAACGGGAGGCTGCACACCGTGTATGTGGTGGGGTAGGGGATATATATAAGGGAAAGAATTGTATTAAGGTGGCTCTACAGTTCAAAAATGAGGTGCCAGGAAACAGGGAAATGAAATTGAACTGGATATCTCTAGAGGTGGAAAGATCGAGTATCCTAATGGAAAAACAGACCATGTACGTGAACAGCAGTTCACATGTAAAAAACAAAATACGCGTCATTAAAAATACAGTCATGTATCACTTAACATTGAGGGTCTGAGAGATGCATCCACAGGCAATTTTAACATCGTGTAAACTTCCTAGAGTGTACTTACACAAACCTAGATTATATTTCCTACAACGCACCTAGGCTATGTGGGCCTCTTGCTCCTAGGCTACAATCCTGTACAGCATGTTACTACGCTGAAAACTATAGGTAACTGTCACACAATGGTAAGTATTTGTATATCTAAATATATCTAAACATAGAAAAGGTACAGTAAAAATATGGTAGAAAATATGAAAAATGGTCCACCTGTATAGGGCACTTATCACGAATGGAGCTTGCAAGACTGGAAGTTGCTTTGGGTGTCAGTGAATGAATGTTGAGTGAACATAAGGTATAGGACATTCCTGTACACTACTGCAGACTTTATAAACACTGGACACTTAAGCTATGCTACATTTATTTAAAAATGTATTTTTCTTTCTTCAATAATAAATTAACCTTAGCTTACTATAATTTCATTATTTTATAAACTTTAAAGTTTCTTTTAAACTTTTTTACTTTTTGTGATAACACAGCTTAAAACACAAACACAATGGACAGCTGTACAATAGTATTTTCTTTCCTTATGTCCTGGTGTAAACAAACGTGTTGCTCTGCCAGTCTTATGAAAGTATAGCACATACAATTATGTACACAACATAATAATAAACAATTGTTACTGCTTTATGTATTCACTATGCTAAATTTTATGTCATTATTTTAGAGTGTACTCTAACTTATGAAAAAAATAGTTAACTGTAAAATAGCTTCATGTAGGTTATTCAGAAAATATTTCAGAAGAAGGCATTGTTATCATAGGAGACAATTCCACGTGTCCTGAAGACCTTCCAGTGGGACAGGATGTGGAGATGGAAGACAGTGATAGCGATGATTCTGACCCTATGTAGGCCTAGACTAATGTGTGTGGTTTTTGGTTTGTTTGTTTGTTTTTTGAGACGGAGTCTCACTCTGTCACCCAGGCTGAAGTGCAGTGGCTCAATCTCAGCTCACTGCAACCTCCGCCTCCCGGGTTCAAGCTGTTCTCCTGCCTCAGCCTCCCGAGTAGCTGGGACTACAGGCATGCACTACTATGCTCATATGTGTTTTTGTATCTTAGTTTTTAATAAAAAGTTTAGAAAGTAAAAAAATAAAATAAAA
Organism: Homo sapiens; assembly: GCF_000001405.40. Lineage (NCBI taxonomy): Eukaryota > Metazoa > Chordata > Mammalia > Primates > Hominidae > Homo > Homo sapiens. The sequence continues at coordinate 163,438 of NW_003315934.1, read as the reverse complement.
ATAAAGATTTTTTATTTTATTTATTTATTTATTTATTTATTTATTTTTTTGAGACAGAGTCTCGCTCTGTCGCCCAGGCTGGAGTGCAGTGGCGTGATCTTGGCTCACTGCAAGCTCCACCTCCCGGGTTCACGCCGTTCTCCTCCCTCAGCCTCCCGAGTAGCTGGGACTACAGGCGTCCGTCACCACGCCTGGCTAATTTCTTTTTGTATTTTTAGTAGAGACAAGGTTTCACCATATTAGCCAGGATTGTCTCGATCTCCTGACCTCGTGATCCGCCCACCTTGGCCTCCCAAAGTGCTGGGATTACAGGCGTGAGCCACCGTGCCCAGCCATAAATAAAGATTTTTAAAAATAGAAAAAGGCTTATAGATTAAAGATATAAGTAAAGAAAATATTTTGTACAGCTGTCCAATGTTTTTGTATTTTAAGCTGTGTTATCATAAAAAGCCAAAAACTTTTTTAAAAACTTAAAAGTTTATAAAATAATAAAGTTACAGTAAGCTAAGGTTAATTTATTATTGAAGAAAAATATATTTTAAAATAATTTTAAATTTTAAATTTAATAATTTAATTTTAAAATTTAAATTTTAAATTTTAAAAATAACCTAAGTATCTGGTGTTTATAAAGTCTACAGTTATATACAGGAATGTCCTAGGCCTCCCTGCAAACTCTACAAAATGGCTTACATTAAATCAATTATATATATCTTAACTATAGTTATTTATGGCTGTGGGGTACACTGGATGATTAGGTGTGAGTGCATACGAGGAAGGTATGCCTTGAAAAGCTAGAATAAATAAGCTAATATCCAGTACACAACTCACTATCTCCCCCAGAAAACCAAATATTAGTTTTTCCAAGATGCTTACTTTCCAAAATATAAACACCTTTATTTTCTAATGCTTACTAAAATAAATTCTGAGCTTACCAAAAATACAAAGAAAAATGGAAAACAACTGTAATTCCACCCTTCAGGGATAATTCCTGCTAATATCTTTATGTATATCCATCCAGAATTTGGTCTATGCAAATATACACATATAGCTCTCTCTCCATTTCAAATATCTTATTTTATAACAAGAAATGTTCATTTAACATTGAATATCTACCTCTTTTTAAAAAGACTGAATATGACTCTAATCTAACACTATGTTTGATTTGGCCAACCTCATATTGTTATGGGATTATGTTGTTTTCTATATTTTCCTACTATAAATTACACCAAACACTTGTCCTACTTTTGAGCATTTGTCCAATTAGGACAAATTCCTAGAAGTAGATTTGATAGTCAAAGGTACTCCCTTTTTAAGTCTTTTGCTTTGTTGCAAACTTGGACTGAAAAATTGTGTGCCAATTTCCATTTCTCCTTAGTAGACTATGAGTGTCTTCATTTGCAGAAAAACTTCCAAAAATCCTCAGTCTTGCTAATATTGATTAATAAGAAAACCAAGTGTCTCACTTGTGGTTTAATTTGCATCCCTTGATTAACTGAAAGGTCAAATATTTTTTTCTTATACCATTATGCACTACATAGCAATGTTTTGGTCAAAGATAGACTGCGTATACAAAGCAGACCACATATACAACAGTAGTCCCAGAAGGTTATAATGGAGCTGAAAAATTCCTATCATCTATTGTTATCATAGCCATCCTATTGTCATAACTCAATTCATTACTCACATGTCTGGTAGGAAGTTGGAGGGAGGTGAAATTTATCTGCAACATGCTCATGCTGCACTTTCCAGTTCCCTTTTTTTGTAATCCTCCTTCCCCAGGCTTCAGTCATGACTTGAAAATCCTCAGATGCTCTATTCCAACCAATCTGAAACATCACTGAGGAAAGGAGCTAATTATCTAGTAGGCATTAATATGTAAAGAATTCTTAAGATTTACCTTGACACATATTTCTGATCTCATTATAATGAACTGGGCAAGTGAAATTTGAATACCAACATTCTAGGTATCAGAAACAAACTAGCAGGAAAACTACATCTGTGCATGTGCCTATGTGTGTCTATAAACTATGTGGTGCCTCTCAAATCATACCACAGAGACAGCCAGATGCTAACTGTAGAACACGTTAAGTCCAGCTTATATTTCAAGCAACAGAATGTTGGCTGGCTGTGTCTGTACATGAGCATGAAATATCTTACAAGAGAAAATGATCTCTCTAGCAATCTATTGGAATCAAAGATACACGTTGCCAATGCTGCTTTGACCAATACCCATGAAGCCAGGTTTCCTGACCTCATCATGGAAACACCCTAAGTGAAGAGTAGAGTATACTGTGCTATGTGCAATAATAGGAGTATGTACAAAGCAAAGACTTATTACAAAGGAAGGAGTGATGAGTTCTGTCGTAAATTCAGAGGCAACCAGGGAAAGCATCACAGAGAAGGTAGTATTTAATCAGAGGTTGGACAAGATAAATAAAACCTTAAGAGACAGAAAAAGAAAATGGTTTGAATCAACCTGTTTAATTTTTAATGGATACTAATATGTATGAAGATGAAGATTCTGTTTCTTTTCTTTTTTTTTTTTTTTACAGGTGTTGGGGTCGATGACATGTTTATCATGATTTCTGCCTGGCATAAGACCAACCTTGCAGATGACATACGAGAGCGGATGTCCAATGTCTATTCAAAAGCGGCAGTGTCTATTACAATCACCACCATCACTAACATCCTGGCCTTATATACAGGGATTATGAGCTCTTTTAGGTCTGTACAATGTTTTTGCATCTATACAGGAATGACCCTGTTATTTTGCTATTTTTATAACATCACGTGTTTTGGAGCATTTATGGCCTTGGATGGTAAAAGAGAAGTAGTCTGCCTATGCTGGTTGAAAAAGGCTGACCCAAAATGGCCCTCATTTAAAAAGTTCTGCTGTTTCCCATTTGGTTCTGTCCCAGATGAACATGGAACTGATATCCATCCAATAAGTTTGTTTTTTAGAGACTATTTTGGCCCCTTTCTCACAAGGAGTGAGTCCAAGTATTTTGTAGTCTTTATATATGTTTTGTACATCATAAGCAGTATATATGGGTGTTTCCATGTGCAGGAAGGTTTAGACCTTCGAAATCTGGCAAGTGACGATTCCTACATCACACCATATTTTAACGTAGAGGAGAATTATTTTTCAGATTATGGTCCCAGGGTTATGGTTATTGTTACTAAAAAAGTTGACTACTGGGATAAAGATGTTAGGCAAAAACTGGAAAACTGTACTAAAATTTTTGAAAAAAATGTCTATGTAGATAAAAATCTTACAGAGTTTTGGTTAGATGCATATGTGCAATATTTAAAAGGTAACAGCCAAGATCCTAATGAGAAGAATACTTTTATGAACAATATTCCTGATTTTTTAAGCAATTTTCCAAATTTTCAGCATGATATTAATATTTCTTCATCAAATGAAATCATTTCTTCCCGGGGCTTCATTCAGACAACAGATGTTTCTTCCTCAGCCAAAAAGAAAATATTGTTATTCTAATTACGACGCATAGCTGAAGACTGTCAAATTCCCCTAATGGTGTATAACCAGGCATTTATATATTTTGATCAGTATGCTGCAATATTAGAAGACACTGTTAGAAATGTATTGGTTGCATCAGCAGCTATGTTCATTGTTTCCTTATTGTTAATCCCTTATCCATTGTGTTCCTTGTGGGTGACTTTTGCTATTGGTTCTGTGATTGTAGGGGTAACGGGTTTCATGGCATTCTGGAAAGTCAATCTTGATTCCATATCCATGATTAATCTTGTCATTTGTATAGGGTTTTCTTTCGATTTTTCTGTACACATTTCCTATGCATTTGTTTCTAGTTCTCAACCCTCAGTAAACCAAAAATCAGTTGAGGCATTGTATCTTCTAGGCTACCCAGTGTTACAAAGTGCAATTTCAACAATAATAGGGGTGTGTGTTTTAGCTGCAGCGAAAGCATACATCTTCAGAACATTTTTTAAGATTATGTTTCTTGTTATGATATTTGGGGCAGCTCATGGCCTAATTTTTATTCCAGTATTCTTAACCTTTTTTGGAAGGTTTATTTGAATATCCACTAACAAGTCAAAGACCAATTCTAGAATTCCTGATTGCCCTATTCCAATCTGATTTTTTTAAATGCACTATTAAGAATAGTCAACAAACTACTGGGAGGCCAAGGTGGGTGGATCACCTGAGGTCAAGAATTCGAGACCAGCCTGGCCAACATGGTGAAACCTCGACACTACTGAAAATACAAAAATTATCCAGGCATGGTGGCGTGCACCTATAATCCCAGCTACCTGGGAGGCTGAGGCAGGAGAATCGCTTGAACCTGGGAGATGGAGGTTGCAGTGAGCTGGAGTGCACCAGGCACTCCAGCCTGGGTGACAAGAATGAGACTCCGTCTCAGAAAAAAAAAAAAAAGTCAACAAACCAAAAACAAGGGCATGTTTCCTTGACTTGGAAATCCCATTTTAAATTATTATTTAAAATATACTGATAAAAATTAATTAGTCTTATGTTAAAATATCTTCACTAAATTAGGAAGTGTTATCTTTCTTACAGTCTTTACAATCAAGTACAAGGTACAACTTTTCTGTTATTTTTTCCCTTTATATTTATGCCTGAAATTCAACTATTGTATGTATTGTTCATACTATAAATGGAATATTATTTTCATTGCACTTGCTACATGCATTCATATGTGAAAATGCATCTTATCATTTATTTTCCCATTCAGGGGCTTTTCTATGCATTTTGTTAATGGTATATTTCGATAAGAAGTTTTTAAAGTTTATAAATCCAATTTATCATATTTTTTTCATGGTTAGTGCCTTCTTATCCTAAGAAATATTTTGACTACTCCAAGGTTACAATTAAAGTCATCTCTGTTTTCTCCTCTAAGCTAATAGTTTTGATCTTACATTTAGGCCTGTGATCCATACGCATGTATTTGTTGGGCAGTATCGATAGAGGTCCATTCCCTTTTCATAAAAGCTGCCCATTTGTCTCAGCATCATTTGTGAAAAGACTGTCATTCAGGATAGGATTAACTTGGCATCTATATAAAAAAAAAATCAGTTGACAATATATGTGTGGTTCTAATTCTGTGCCATCGATCTGTTTGTCTGCTCTAAGGCCAATACCACCACACAGCCTTCATTACTGAAGCTTTTTATTAATTACTGAAATTAGGCTGTGTATGTTGTCCACTTTTATTTTTATTAATCTTTCTGATTTCAAAGTTTATCTTTGTTACGTTCTTTTTTTTTTTTTTTTTTTTTTTGAGACAGAGTCTCACCCTGTCACTAAGGCTGGAGTGCAGTGGTGCGATCATAGCTCACTGCACCTAAAACTCCTGGGCTCATGTGATCCTCCTGCCTCAGCCTCTGAGTAGCTGGGACTACAGTCATGCCATTACATCTGACTAATTTTTTGTTTTAATTTTTTTTTAAGAGACAGGGTCTTTCTGCATTGGCCAGGCTGGTCTTGAACTCTTGGCCTCAAGCAATTCTTCCGCCTCAGCCTCCAAAACTGCTGGGATTACAGGTGTGAGCCACCATACCAACACTTGGTTACTTTTTTATCTTAAACTCTATAAACCAACATTGCTTTTTTTAAAGAAGGTATTCATCATCATAAAACTATACTGTAACAAAGCAATTCACTTTTACCCTGGAACTTGTTGGTTTTGGGCCTTGAATTTAACTCATCACACCAACCAATGGGTTGGGAAAAGTGAAAAACAGCAACAGTGTAGAAGTTGTATTAATGATTAGAAACGCTGGCTATTTAAATGTGACCTTGCCTAAAGGCTTTAGCCATGTTTTTGCTGTTTTGCAATCAGTGGCTCCAGCTCCTTAGTTATCTCTCCTAGACGTCAATTCCAAATTAGTTTCTTTTCCTCACCAAAAATATTTGGGGTGATGTCAGCATAAACGGGGTAGAATGTAGCTCCAAGAGCCCATTTCATCACAAAAATAAAAAAATTGAAAAATGCAACAACTGTTAGAAAAGACTCTAATTGAACTCTGAAAACGGTCCAAGGTTTACACCAACCAAGTGGACACCAAATCAGAAAAAAAGCAACTTAAAAATGGTAGGAAAATTTTGTGGCGTTTTTATTTGCCCTTGTCTCACACCCCCCTCCCTGGCTTGATAGTGATGGTGGTCCTAAGAAGGTAGCCTAGGCCAGGCAGGGTGGCTCAGGCCTGTAATCCCAACACTTTGGGAGGTCGAAGAGGGGGGTGGATCACCTGAGGTCAGGAGTTCGAGACCAGCTTGCCAACATGGTGAAACCCCATCTCTACTAAAAATACAAAAATTAGCCAGGTGTGGTGGCACGCGCACCTGTAATTGCAGCTACTCGGAGGCTGAAGCAGGAGAATTGCTTGAGACCCGGGAGGCAGAGGTTGCAGAGAGCTGAGATCGCGCTACTGCACTCCAGCCTGGGTGACAGAGCAAGACTCGGTCTCAAAAAAAAAAAAAAAAAAAAAAAAGGTAGCCTACCTACCTTTTTTCATTCCTACCACGTGTGGGACCCAGGTTCCTACTTCCAGAGGGAGAAAAGACCTCATTCACAAAGAGTTTTTCTGTTTAAACATGTCTACGAGCTATCGGAAGACTGACACAAAGCACTTATCCTTGTTTCACCTTCCCCAGAACTCACTCATGGTGAAAAGGGAGCAAGAATTTCCTTAAAACATTGTAAGCCAAATAAACAGCCCACAAGCATCAGGAGCAAAACGTTACTGTTGAGGTATTCAATAGTGCCCTATAAGCCAGGGAGGAAAGGCTGGGCAAAGAGTTTCTTTGTCAAATTAAGGCATTCAAAAGCACCTTTATGTACTGGGAATTTTTTTTTTTTTTTTTTTGTCTTTGAGACAGAGTCTTACTCTGTCACCCAGGCTGGAGTGCAGTGGTGTGATCTTGGCTCTCTGCAACCTTTGCCTCCTGGGTTCAAGCAATTCTCCTGCCTCAGCCTCCTGAGTAGCTAGGACTATAGACGGGCGCCACCACGCCCAGCTAAGTTTTATATTTTTAGTAGAGATGGGGTTTTGCCATGTTGGCCAGGCTGGTCTTGAACTACCGACCTCAGGTGATCTGTATACTAGAAATTTTAAAGCCATGCACATGCTCAGGGCAGGACACGTACTCAGAAAATAACTGCACAAACTCAAAGCTTTAACCTCTGGCTAATCACTACAGTCCAGCAGGAAGTGAAGGGGATGCTGTGGCTCCCTTGGGGTATGCCTACCAAGGCGATGCTTCCCTGGGGTACTTCTCCTGTATGGGATTGCACAAGGGTAGGGGACAGGACCAAGGAATACCAGGGTGCTGGGTCTCTCTAGTGGCACTAGTAGTCTCCATGAACAAACGGCTGTATTCCCAGAAGAGGCCAAGCTACTCATAGGGGATACTGTAGCTCTTCCTGCGGCTACCTAGGGCCCAAGATTCAAACACATGCCTTCCAAAAATATGGCATCATTTAGTGATGGCTCTGTGAAACTAAAAGCAGATGGGGTTCATTGGGCTGCAAAGGTGGATGGCCATCGTTTGACTCAGACTGAATACAGATGTTACAACCAACCGGCCAAACTACCTGCAGTGGTGATGGTCAAGCAGGGCCACCCCTACCACCATATTGCTACATTTTCACTGAGTCATGGGCCATTGCCAGCAGCCTAGCTAAAATGTCAGGAGAACAGCGGCTCAGTGACCAGGCTATTAAAGGATCCCCTGTGTGAGGACGAGGACTATGCCAACAGCTTCCTGTCTTAAAGGGACAAATACATGTCACTCATAGGAATACCATAGTCACCCTTGAGATAACTTATCTCATGTTTTTTGGATACTCTGTGAGATGTCCCATTAACCAAACAGCATACTTCACTGCCCAAGCAACATGACACGGGCTACACTTTCAGAGGATATGATCACAAGATATGATGGGCTTTCCATACACTCTATTATGCACAGGCCAGTGAAACCGTTAAATGATGGAACAGCTGATTCACACAGCAACTGAAGAGAGAACATCAAGACAACCTGCTGGTGGGGTGGTACCCCCACCTGACTAGGGTAATATGGGCACTAAACACAAGGAAAACACAGCATTGCAACGCATGTTGAGAAACACTGAACTTGGTAAGGGTGGTGGTGGACCAGGCAGCTCCCTAATTGGCCTGAGCCTGCAAAATCCTCATGTTTCCAACAATTCTTTTTTCGCTTTAGAGAGCATATCCTGTGGGTGGTTTGCAGTTCAGGCTGCCACAGTACCCCCAGACAGGGGGCCCTCTGACTCTAATCTGGAGGCAATGCTTCCCTTTGGTGCCTCCCTTCCCCTCTATGTGATCCCACAAGGGTGGGCGACAAAACCAAGGAATACAAGGGTGCTAGGGTCCCTCTAGAGGCAGTAGGGACATCTGATCCTTCCAGTCAAGTGGGCAGTGTTATCAGGCATGTTAAGTTTGTACAGGACATGATCTCTCTTCCTACACTGGACAACTGAGGCCAAAAGGTCTGGGTTAAGCAGCAAGGGCAAGGGGTGTCCTCAGAAGTGGCAGCCTCAGGAGAGGGACAGACAGGCTACGTCACTACACCACCTCAGCCCAATTCATATCTGATGGGTAGGAAACACCTGGGCCTCCTGGAAGGGGTAGGGGTGGGGCACGAACCTGTCAGTCTGCTTTTCCACAAGGATGTGGCAGCAGAAGCCTGGAATTGTAATGCTTTGGTGGGCTCTTTCAAGCTATGGCCATGGCAGGCAACCTGACGAAGTGTTGGATCTGCCACCCTGGACCTCCTCCTGTCACAGACCACAGCAACCTTCTCCTTCTGCCAGTGGTAAACTAAACCATTAGTCTGTTCTCATGCTGCTAATAAAGACATATCCAAGACTAGGTAATTTTTAAAGAAAAAGTGGTTTAATGAATTCACAGTTCCATGGCTGGGGAAGCCTCACAATGATGACAGAAGGTGAAAGAGAAGAAAGGCACGTCTTACATGGCGGCAGGCAAGAGAGAGAACATGTGCAGGGGAACTCCCCTTTATAAGACCATCATATCTCATGAGACTCATTCACTGTCATGAAAACAGCACAGGAAAAAACCCACCCTCATGATTCAATTACCTCCCACCAGGTCTTCCATGACACATGGGAATTATGGGAGCTACAGTTCAAGATTTGGGTGGGGATACAACCAAACTATATCAACCATTATTCCCTGAGTATTGTCAGAGTGTAAGGCAATAACACCTGAGCGTGGCTTACTAAGCAAGGATCTGGCACCTGCCACATGACAGGGAACTGGAGGTGCCCTATTAACTGACTCTGTGGCAAAATGTCACAACCACAACTAACAAAACCTTGGTGGGCAGGTACTTTCATGGACACACTCCTTTGATTACATGGACTACAAGTGTCCCAGTAGTGATAATGAAAACAAAGACCAGACTACCCCTAGCGCTCTGTGTAGGATTCATGAACAATATTGTATGGGAGAAACTGAGCTCATGCAACTATGCTATCAATCAGACTTGGCTGGTGAAAGCCAATGCATCTATCCCCTTGTATGGGCCACTGAACAATAAAATGAGGAAAGGTAAGTTATGTGCAGCCGAGGGCTACATCTTTCTCTGCAGATGGTCTGGCAGTAACCCAAATATAGGATGGGCATTGTCATGCCTGAAACTTTCTCTGCAGATGGTCTGGCAGTAACCCAAATACAGGTCGGGCTTTGTCATGCCTGAAAATCTGTAAGATAGAGGGATCCTGCATGTTGCATGTACTGGGGGTGCCCCAAGATACCACCCCTGGGAATAATGAGATGCCCCCATTTGGGCCTGCAGCCCAAAGCCATACACCAGACTTACTAGGAACCTTCCAGGAGGTAGAACTGACTGTGGGCTTATGTCCTTTATGAGATCTTTGAGACCATGCATCAGAGTCAGTGCTTAGGAAAAAGTGATAAGAAATCTGTCCCTGACCATGGCAGATATTGCTTCCTCCACTGTCACTGCCTTGACAGCCCAACAGACATCCCTCAACTCCCTCAGGAAGGCTGTTTCAGATGATATAAGTTACCTAGACTTTCTTTTAACCCAACTGGGAGGAGTGCATGCAATTGGCAATACTGCCTGCCATACCTGGATTAATACCACAGGTATGATGGAAACAAAAGTGAAGGAGATTCAGAAGCAGGTTCACTGGCCACAGACTGGAACCACCTGAAGAATTCCTCTTTCACCTCTTTGGCAATTTCTTACCTAGATTGTTTGGATTCTGGGCTAGGTCACTACTCCAGGCAGGCTTGGTCATGCTTGTGGTCGTAGTCCTCCTGAGCCTAGTGAAATGTATTCTGGCTATGGCCCAAAGGTGTTGCACTGAATGAAGATGTGTTGGTCAAGATGTTACACAAATCTGATAAGACAAACCTCCACCTCCAGATTTGGGCATATGGTTGGTGAGCATATGATATGGACTGGCTTTGCTAAGGGTAATATCTTGCGGAAGTGAGGTGGGGTGCACTGCAAGACAGTTCTCTAGGTGTCCTTGGACCAACCCCATTCTTCATCTTCCCTTACTCCCTCATAGTTCTCAAGAAGAACTGTAGAATGTGCTGGGAATGCAACACCTTGAGATGAGAGGGAGTTTGCCGGAATAGCTCAGGCTCATTCCAGCCCCATTCTAAAAACAGAATGTCCATCAATGCTTCAGCCCAATGTGGAACAATAAAATGAGGAAAGGGATATTATATGCATCCAAGGGCTACAGCTTTTATACCCCAATGTTGCCCCTGGGATACAAAACCCAGAGTGGGTTGCTTTCTGGAGTCCCTCAGCTGCAGTACAAGTAGGGCATGCACAGTCAAGGCTTCATCCATCCCAGGAAGCTTTCCAAGCCTTGGGGGGACTGACTCACAATGAATCCCAGGCATCTGCTGTCTGTTATTGCCTATCCTTAAGTAATAAATCCACTTAATGTAGCTTGTTGCATATGAGTACGTTCTGTCTCACTGGACTCAGATGACTTGATAAACCAGTACACAGTAAATTTGCTTCACAAAAACATGCAAGAATAAAAGAGTAATGTAAGCAGACATGGAATTCTAAGAAATAATCCAAAAGAAATGGAATTGTAACAGAAATGAAGAATGCCCTCAGTAGTCATATTGGTAGACTGGACACAGTTGAGGAAAGAATTTCTAAGCTTAAGGATATATCCATAAAACTTCTCAAACTGAAAAGCAAAGAGAAAAAAAGACTGGGGGAAAAAAAAGAATAGGCTGTCAAAGAACTGTGGGACAACTACAAAAGTTGTAACACATGCATAATGAGAATACCAGAAGGAGAAGAAAGAGAGAAGGGAACGAAGAAATTGTTGAAGCAATAATGACTTAAAATCTCCCCAAATTGATGTCAGACACCAAACCACAGACCCAAGAAACTCAGAGAATACCAAACAGGATAAATGTCAGTAATTATAATAATAATACTACACCAAGCACCTCATATTCAAACATCAGAAAAACAAAGAGAAAAACAAGAAAGAATCTAAAGGAGAAAACTACTTTACCTATTGAGGAGTAAAGATAAGAATTACATTCAACTCATCCTCAGAAACTATCCAAGCAACAAGAGAGTGGAGTGAAATATTTAGAGTGTTGAGAGTTCAAAACACCAACCTAGAATTTTGTATCCTGCAAAATTATCCTTCAAAAGTGAAAGAGACAAAAATTGAGGGGATTTATTGGCAGCAGACCTGCCTTGCAAGAAATCTTAATGTTCTTTGGAGAGGAGGAAAATGATATAGGTTGGGAACTCCTATCTACGTAAAGAAAGGAAGAGCACTGTAGAAGGAATAAGTAAAGGTAAAATGAAAATTTTTATTTTTTATTCTTATCTAACAGATAACAGTTTGTTCAAAATAAAAATAAAAACAATATATTTGGCAGTTATAGCTTACACATAAGTGAAACAAATAGCAGAAATGATTAAAGGAATGAAGGACAGAATTAGGAATACATTATTCTTATAAGATATTTACACTACCACTGAAGCAGAATAATGTTATCTGAAAGTAGACTTGTATTCGTTGTAAATGTGTATTACAAACTCTAGGGCAACCATTTAAAAGTGTTTTAAAAGAAGTATAATTGGACATTAGTAAGATGGTGGAATAGAAGGTAATGCACTCCTAACCCCCTAATAAGGATTCTATACCTATTCACAGTCAAAAGTCTCTCTGCAGGAGCCTCATTATTCGGGTTGGAGTTTGTGAAACCCCAGTGAGCCCAAGACCTATGAGAGTCATTTTGAGATTGCAGACCAACAGCCAGGTAGCTAATCCATTGAGTGTGCTCCCAAGTTCAAGCACAGAAATGGCCCAGTCCCACAAGGGCTTTGACTACAGCCCTGTTTGGCCTTGAGCCTACAACCAAAACCATCTTCCAAAGGTCCAGGAGGAATTGTACATACTAGGATCTTGGTGGAAAGGCTCACCTGCCTGCTGACATCAGTTCTGGCAGTGAACCTGAAAGTTGCTCTGTGGCTCAGCATTAGCCCCCCTCAGCTGAGGCCCAGCTCAGAACTGCTCACACAAGGACCCAGAGGGACACTTGCCCATATCTCACAGCTCAAGAGCCTGAGCTTCCCTGAAAGTTTTGCCAACTTCTGTCTCACAGCAGATTCCAAGGAGGCCCGGTCTCAGCTCCTGCTGCCATCAGGTAACTGTCCCATCTATGCTGAAACGTGTTGGGAAACAAAGTGCCCCCCTGATTCTTCGATATGGGCTCTCCAGCCTCCATCCCACAGCAGATCCCAAGGGGGTCCAATTCCAGCTCTGGCCTCTCTTGTTGCACAAGATCCTTGTGCAATCTCATTCCTTGGTATTTGGCCAGATGTGCTGAAAACTTATGTCCACACAAAAACCTGCACACAGATGTTCATAGCAGCTTTATTCATAATTTCAAGAACTTGGAAGCAACCAAGACATCCTTCAACAGGCAAATGGGTAAACCGTGGTACATCAGTGTTATATTATTCCATGCTAAAAAGAAACAAGCTCTCAAGCCATGAAAGACATGAAGGAACTTTAAATATATCTTAAGTGAAAGAAGCCAATCTGAAAAGCCTACATATTGTATGATTCCTACCGTAGGACATTCTGGAAAAGGCAAAACTTTGGAGACAGTGAAAAGATCAATTGTTGCCAGGGGTTTGGGAGAGGGAGGGATAAATAGGCCGAGCACAGAGGAGTTTCAGGACAGTGAAACTGTTCTGTACAATATTGTAATGGTAGATACAAGTCATTTTGCATTTGTCAAAACCCATAGAATGTACAACACCAAGAGTAAACCCTAATGTAAACTATAGGATTCAGGTGATAATAATGTGTTAATGTAAATTCATCTTCTGTAACAAAAGTACCACTCTAGTGTGGTAGGTTGCTAGTGTGAGAGCCTGCAAGTGGGAAGGTCAGGGGGCAGGGGCTATATGGGAACTCACTGTACTTTCTGCTCAACTTCACCATGAACCTAAAATTGCCCTAAACAAAATATAAAGTATATTTTAAAAATTTCTCAAGTCATATATTTTAAATACCTTTGTTTGATAAGAATCAAAACAAAGTCCATAGTTAATGTGTCTCTTAAGACTCTTAGTCTACAAATTCTCCCTCCTCTTTTTATTTCTCCCTCTTGTAGTTTATTTCTTAAAGAAACCAGGTCATTTGTCCTGGAGAGTTAGAATCCTACATTTTGGCTTTTGTTGATGGCATTATGTTTTAGCACATTCCTCTGACCCCTTGACATGGGTAAGACAGGTTTGATCAGAGATGTGCTTCGTTTTGTTTGCTGTTTGTTTTTGCAAGGTGGCATTGTGGGCTTTCAATCCATTATGTTAGGAGGTGCTTAACGACTGGCTCTCTGTTTAAGATGGTAAAATTCACTAATGTGTTTAGGTATTGTCAGCCTGGTCCAACCATTACAAAATACTTCATCAGTTTTTTCACTTAATTATTTTAACAGCTTTGGGAGGCAGAATAATACAATAATACCCTCCAAATATGTCCAGTTTTTTTTTTTTTTTTTTGAAATGGAATGACATTCTGTCGCCCAGGCTGGAGTGCAGTGGCGCAATCTCGGCTCACTACTGCAAACTCCGCCTCCTGGGTTCAAGCGATTCTCCTGCCTCAGCCTCTCAGTCTCCCGAGTAGCTGGGATTACAGGCACGCCCCACCATGCCTGGCTAATTTTTGTATTTTCAGTAGAGACAGAGTTTCACCACGTTGGCCAGACTGGTCTCAAACTCCTGACCTCAGGTGATCAGCCTGCCTCGGCCTCCCAAACAGCCGGGATTACAGACACACACACCATCATGCCCAGCTAATTTTTGTATTTTTAGTAGAGACGGGGTTTCACCATGTTGGCCAGGCTGGTCTTGAACTCCTGACCTCAAGTGATCCACCACCTCGGCCTCCCAAAGTGCTGGGATTACAGACGTGAGCCACCGTGCCCAGCCTTAATGGGTTTTTACTATCTTGAAGTTTCTCATGAGATTTAGTCAGATGTCAGCTGAGAATGCACACATATGAAGGTTTGACTGGGGCTGGAATCAGATCCATTTTCAAGATGGCTAACTCATATGACTGTCAAGTTGTGCTGGCTATTTGTGGGAGACCCCAGTTCCTCTCCATATGGGCCCCATCACAGGGCTGTTCCTGACAGCTGCCGGATTCCCCTGGACCAAGTGATCCAAGAGAATGGAAGCCAAAATGTCCTTTATGCTCTAGCTTAGGATGCCACACGGAATCATATCTGCTACTCCACTGGTCACACAGACCAGTTCTAATTCAATGTGCAAAGAAACAAAGTAATGAATACCAGGAGGTGATAAAAATTAGGGACCATCATAGAGGCTGGCTGTGAGTTTGTATGGATTAATTTTATCCCAGTTATGGTCACATTTTCCTTCTTCACATGTCTGGTACGTTTTTATTGGATGCTCCTTATGGAATATATGTCGTTGAGTACTAGATTTTGTTGCTTTCTCTAAATACTATTGGATCTGACAAAGTTATCTGTGTATCAGGTTGGTCTTTTCAAAGCTCATTTTTAGGACTTCTTAGGATGAATCTAGAACAGTCTTTAGTTCTAGGCTAGCTTTGCCCTACTACTAGGCACAACCCTCTGGGGTTTCTACTGAATCTCCCAGGTTTTCAATGAGGAATCTACATTCTGCCTGATCAAAAGTTAAACATCTCCCAGCTCTGTGAGAATGCTGGAGATTTAGGGTATACCTCTCTGGTTATGCTTTGCCTTGTCTCATAGAACTTCATCCTCTGCATGTGCCATATGTGGCTAAGTATTTAGTAATAGATTCTCTGGTCAAGCTTTGCAAAGCCTGACTTCATGGACATTTATCTTACACAGAGGTGACAAGGTATTTAGAGACATGCTAAAAGGGGCCCCGTGCAGATTTAGGAAGTGCTTTATCCCCATGGTACCTTCTACTCTGGCACTTTGACTTACATATTTTAGCCTGCCCAGAGCCCCTAAACTCTGCCCTATAAAGAAAATGCCATGCTCTGCCTGGATTTACCTTCATATTCTGTGGTTTGGAAAATGTCTCCATGAAGAAAATGAGGATGATTATAGGACTCACTTCATTTGTTTTCTGTCTTTCAGGGATCATAATTCTTCACTGTCTCTTGTCCGGTGCCTCAAAATCATTGTTTGACACACTTTGTCCAGTTCTTTTTTTTTTTTTTTTTTTTTTGAGACAAGGTCTCACTCTGTTGCCCAGGCTTAAGTGCAGTAGCACAATCATGACTCACTGCAGCCTCAACCTCCCAGGCTCGAGCAATCCTCCCGCCTCAGCCTCCAGAGTAGCTGGGACTCCAGGCGCATGCCACCACACTCGGCTAATTTTTGTAGAGATGGGGTTTCTTCATTTTGCCCAGGCTGGTCTTGAACTCCTGGGCTCAGTTTCCCAAAGTGGTGGGATTACAGACATGAGCCACCACACCCAGTCTTGCCCAGTTATTAACAATAACAGGACAAGCTCTCTTCCAATTATCTCATCATGGCTGGAAACAGATGTCCTCTATCTTTTTGTTTTCATGTTTATATCATTCATTTTGTTGTCTAACTTTACAGTCTGATTTTCTGTAGTCCATCTCCTTGAAGCAACCTTTGAAGTAAATATGAAACTTCAAATATCTGGAAATTCCCTTTTTTCTCTTAATAAATTAATAGAAATATGATACTACAAATATTTTTGTGGTTTCCTAGATAGGCTCTTAAGTCTCCTTAAATTTTTTTAAAAAACTTCCTGAACAAAGTAAGTAGGCTTTCAACACCACTGCAAAAGACACTGATACATACTATACCAATTGCCCAGAAAATTCAAAGGGAATCTTCCAAGTAACACTTTTGCCTCAAAATTTCAGAATAATTCACCACTGAAAATATTATCCTTTTATGCTGCAAGTGTGCAAGAAAGCATGACTCTCCTCCTCCATTCCCTGTATACACACGCATTCTTCCCTTCTCTGAAGGAAGATCTTTGATGTGGATGAGCAATTTAAGTATAAATTTGTTGGTTAATGTCTGTCAAAATATGTAGTTATGCTTTCTAAAGTTAAAGGATTTGCTGGCCATATAAGAATCAAATTGTAACACATTCATAAACAACACACACATTTATAATTATCATTTTGCTTTGATATTAAGTCCATTTATTAGTCCGTTTTCACATTGCTGATAAAGACATGCCTGAGACTGGGCAATTTACAAAAGAAAGAGGTTTATTGGATTCACAGTTCCATGTGCCTGGGGAGGCCTCATAATCATGATGGAAGGTGAAAGTCACGTCTCACATGGCGGCAGGCAAGAGAAGAGAGAACTCATGCAGGGGAACTCCTCTTTATAAAACAATCAGATCTTGTGAGACTTATTCACTATCATAAGAACAGAACGGGAAGGACTTCCCCCCATGATTCAATTATCTCCCACCGGGTCCCTCCCACATCACATGGGAATTCAAGATGAGATTTGGCTGGGGACACAGCCAAATCATATCAGTCTGTAAATGATATATGTTATTTTTTACATATATTGTGGTTAAAAATGAAAATAAAACACTTATCATCTAATGCTGTGCAGAAGGGAGCTGATGTTCCTGGCAACTGTCAATGTAAAATAACTTACTTTTTATTTTTCTAATATCAATAAAGAATTATGGAGTTCATTTTCTCTTTTCATATAGATAATTGAAAAGAAGATATTCCTTTCTTTGAAAAGAGAAAGGTTTTGAGAGTTCTAAAGTTCAGAATGTTCTCAAAGGGGATCTGGCCTGAACCCTTGTCATAGACTGGAAGCTACTGCAGGTCTCATCACCCTCACTTTGCATGGATGATGCCCTGAGATGCCATCCTTCTGCCTAGACTTTCTTCAGGTCAAGAGGCAGGGCAGGGACTGGCAGATGAAGTCACCAACCGGGAATGGCTAACATTTCTTGTTAGCTATCTCTGTCCTGCCAGAAACAATGAATTTAAAGAATCCCCTACATTAGAAAAGGGAGGTCAGAAGCTGAGTGGTTGGTAACACTTCCTTCTTTTTAATCACAGTAGTGGTGGACTTCCTTCCCAGTGCTAAATGCCTACTGTTAGACACCTAGTGTTAAAAGTGTATGATTCATTCATGCCTTTTACAAATATTTCTCAAGTGTTTACATTGTGACCGATACTCTTCCAGGCACTGATTACAAAGCAATGAACAAATAAACAGAAGTCTTCCCCCACCTCATCCCCACAAAGGAAATTACATTCTAGTGCCTAAGGAAGAAAGCACACAAGATACATAAGTAAATAGGTAGTATGTTAGGAGGTGGTAACTATCATGGAGAAATGTACAAACAATTAGCATGAAAGTCAGCAAGCTAATGTAAAGTCCTCATCACTAAACAGGCAAGTGTGTGCAAGTACACACGTGTTAGTGTCCATGCATGTGCACAGCATGTGCTGATGGAAGGGCAGGTCATTGCCGCTACATCGTAGGACCAAACTGGGGAGAAATGAAAACTTATTCTTATAAGCCTATTACATATATAAACCTGGAAAATAAATTAGGAAAAAGGAAGTACAGTACTCCTACATATTATCAATCATGGTTATTGTTGTATTCTCTTTTCTAAAATGGCTTGGGCTCAGCATCAACCTTCTGGGTATTAACAAGGACACTGATTTTGAATTATAAAGTATAAACAATTATTTTAACAGAATTCATTATATTTAAGGGTTCACTGTAAGGACTTCAGTTTTGAGTAAGCAGAAAAACAATAATGAGAACTGATATTCCAGGGGGGGATTTTATAATAAAAAGCCCACACCTCATTATTTTGCCATAACAAAAGTCTTCACTCACCGGACACCCCAGCCAAGCCCTCTAGATGTTAGGCCCACTGTGTGCTGGAAGATATTATTGTATGTGCAGGAATCATTAAACTGGCTTTATGGAGAACTATGTTTTTGAAAGGAGACAGCAGAGAAAACTAAAGGAATTTCATAATGTGACACCAAAATCCAATCAAAGGGATAGTTTTCCCAATTCCATGTAGTATCTGCCCCCTAAGCCATTGCAAAGAATCAGTGTATCAGACACTACAAAGCATACAGAAGTAGACTGACTTTGGGGATATGCAAAATCTAATATCTAGCAGCCAAGAAATATTGTGAAAAGCCTGGTAATATGCTTCAAGGGAAAAATAGGTTTGCGACCAGCCTGGCCAACATGGTGAAACCCCACCTCTACTAAAAATACAAAAATTACCCAGGCGTGGTGGTGGGTGCCTGTAATCCCAGCTACTCCGGAGGCTGAGGCAGGAGAATAGCTTGAACCCAGGAGGCGGAGGTTGCAGTGAGCTGAGATTGCACCACTGCACGCCACCCTGGGCAAAACAGCAAGATGCCGTCTCAAAATAAAATAAAATAAAATAAAATAAAGAAAAGGAAAGAAAAGAAAAAGAAAAATAGGTGTTTATGTTTTGTCCAGGTATACTAAATGTCCAGAGACTTCCTTAAGCGATTCAGAATGGTGCAATTTATTTCTTCCTCTGTTGTAACATCGGTTCAACAAAATGAAACACGCTTAAAGCTTGGGTTGAGTAAATTGAGTAATCCATGTGTTTATCAAGTCCTTCAACTAATAACTATCATCAATAACACAGTAAGGAAAATCACCAAGGTCATGATTTTAAAAGATCTTGAAAAAAAATCAATAAAATGAAATAAATAAGTCTTTTTCCTCCAAAACATAAACTACATTCCAGGTGTTAAACTGCTATGGAAATCATAAAAGAAATGTTAATAGGAAAAACATACAACTCGTCAATAAAAACCTAAAGCCAACTAAAGCTTGAGCCAAGAATCAATTGTGGGCCATGATGAAGCTGTTGAGGATTTTTTAAGAATCATTTATGGAAGAAACAGACATTTGGAATAAAGCAGGTTGAGCCTAATACACTCTTAGGAGATTGCATGATTTTTTTGTAGATGTTACTAGTAAAGGTGGCAGCCATTACTCACACACACACAAACATACGTGCATGCACGTACACATGCAAACACATACACCCCCTCACAACACAGATGATTGCAATGGCAAACTACATCCCTCAAATTTATTAATACTTTGAGGTTTTATTTTCCGTTTTTCTCTTTATACTGAATTATTTGTCTCATAATGGTCTTCTCTATAAATGCTTTATTTCTCTGAACTGGGCAACAAATGAAATCATACAAATATATACCGACGTAAACAAACACAAGGTTTTGCGCTCTCAGCTTCTGTCTTCTACCTACACTGATTACACCTCAAGAGCAGTCTTTTATAATGTTATTCAAATAACAGGCTACCAGATACTGTTCCCTCTGAAAGTGCACCTGTATCTTTCATCAACTTTAACGGAAATTATGTGCAAGCAAACTCCTACTGCTAGTTCAAGAGTCAAAGAGGGGACAAGGCATTATGAATTTTTCATATTGCTGACCAAGAAATATCATTCATTTCCTCCATTATCAATATTGTTTAAAATGAAAGTCACTGTATTTCTGAGGCAGAAATATGGGAACTTAAAAAAAAAACAATAGCTTATTTTTATTTCACAGCTTTTTTGGGGGCTGGTATTTAAAAGGAAACACTTTACTGAGGCCCACTGCCAACAATTTTTCAGTAATAAAATGAATAAAACTAGGACATTACAGAATTTCTTCACCTATGAGTAGTGAATAAGTATTATCTATGATTTTAATACCCTTTTCAGTAATATTTGCAGACTTTCCACCCAATTGATGGCTTATTTTATCCTCACACAAATATTTTCAACATGAGCCCTAGCCCAACTGTCCTTTCTTATTTTCTTGCTGAAACGTAATGAAATGCTAACTTTCAGGAATGTTGAGAAATACTGTTTTGTCTGTCCTCTAAGAAATAGCTTCGTTGTTTCCTTCCTATGAACTCTGCTCCCAATTAATTGACTTTTGTAAACATGTTTTGAGACCAGATACTGTTCAGCAGATTGTTTTTTACTAGGGTAAAGCTCTATTTATCACATGGTGTGTTTTTCTCGCTCTGTCCCCTTTGTCACTGGTTAGAAGGAAACAGTGAATTTTGAAAGTTACTAATCAACAGTGGCTATTTGCCTTAGTTTAGCCAAGTCATCCTCAACTGACCAAAGAAAGAAATCGTCAGATCACTGATGATTGGCAGCACAAAGGGGTGCGTATGTAAGATCCAAGATCAACACAGGATACGTTGTACTGCGTACTGCTTTACCACATTTCTTCTGGGTTTAACTAGGCTGGGAGCAGTTGGGCACATACTCTTACAAATGAAGCTTGGAGATGCCTGTATTTACATCTATGTGTTCAGAAGAGCAGAGCTGATAACTCTATCTGTGTCTTTAAAGAAGATCCGAGAGAGTCAACCTATGTAAGGATGGTCATATGGACTTTCCTCGCTTTTGGTCACCTCTCCTGGCTATCTCCAGCCACAGATCTGCACAGACCAATGCCACTTTATACAGAGACAGTGTCCACAGATAAAGGAAGAAATGACTGTATCTACTGCTACAGTGACCCCATTTTATTTCCTAAAGATCAGGGAACAACCCACATTTAGGATACTGCAACAAATCCTAAGGACAAAATGGCAAAATACATACATTGCTTATTCACGGTTAAGAGACACGGACTTTGACCTTTTGTTTTGTTTTTTGGCATGTGGTATTTATTCTGACAGGTAGGAGGCTCCTCTCCTAAAGCCAGAGTTTATTATTTTAAACTATAAATGTGACATATTAAGGGTTTTAAGAGTTGCATTATATTTTTTCCCTCCAATTTACTCTTCCATTACTCCTTTCCTCATCCTGTGGCCAGCTCCTCCAGAGGCTATGGCAGAGGGAGACGACACACAGTTGGAAATTCCTGCTGTTACCATAACATGGCTGTTGCTCACTCTGTGAAGGCAGGCTTTCTCTGTGAATCCCGTCTGTGGTTGTTTGGGTTTTTTTGTTTTTTTTTTTTTAACATTCCCCAATGCAGATACTCTCCAAGTGACTTCTCCCATCAGCTTTATTGAGATATAATCGGCTTTTTAAAAACTGCACATAGGTACATATACACCATGGAATACTATGCAGCCATAAAAAAGAATGAAATAATTTCCTTTGCAGCAACATGGATGGAGTCGGAGGCTATAATCCTAAGCGAATTAACACAGGAACAGAAAACCAAATGCCACATGTTCTCACATATAAGTGGGGGCTAAGCATTGAGCACACACAGACATAAACACAGTAACAATAGACACTGGACTACTAGAGGGTGGAGGGAGGTGGGCAGGTGGGTGGAAAAACTACCTATCAGGTACTGTGCTCACTACCTGGGTGACAGGATCCATACCCTAAACCTCAGCAACACACAATATTCCTATGTAACAAACCTGCACACATACCCCTTGTATCAAAAATAAAAATGGAAAATTAACAAGCAAAGAACAACCCCACTACAATGTAGGAAAGGACATGAACAGACACTTTTCAAGAGAAGACATATATGTGGCCAAAAAGCACATAAAAAATGTTCAAGATCACTAATCATTAGACAAATGCAAATCAAAACCACAAAGAGATACCATCTCACACCAGTCAGAATGGTTATTATTAAAAAGTCAAAAAATAACAGATGCTGGCAAGGCTGCAGAGAAAAGCTAATGCTGACAGGAGTGTAAATTAGTTCAACCACTGCAGAAAGTAGTTTGGTGATGTCTCAAAGAATTTAGAACTACCATTTGACCCAGGAATCCCATTATTGGGTATAACCAAAGGAATATAGATTGTTCTACCATAAAGACTCAGGCACACATATGTTCATCACAGCACTATTCACAATAGCAAAGACATGGAATCAACCTAAATGCTCATCAACAGTAGATTGGATAAAGAAAATGTGGTACATACACACCATGGAATACTATGCAGCCATAAAAAAGAACAAGGTCATGTCCTTTGCAGCAATGTGATGGAGCCAGAGGCCATTATCCTAAGGGAACTAATTCAGGAACAGAAAACCAAACACCTCATCTTCTCACTTGTGAGTCACATCTAAACACCGAGTACACATGGACACAAAGAAAGGAATAGTAGACACCGGGGCCTACTTGAGGGTGGAGGTGGGAGGAGGGTGAAAATTGAAAAGCTACTTACTGAGTTTCATTCATGCTGTGTTTATTACCTGGGTGATGAAATACTCTGTACACCAAACCCCCAGAACATGCAGTTTATCTGTAGAACAAACCTGCATGTGTCCCCCTGAAACAAAAATAAAAGTTAAAAATAAATAAAAGTTGAGGCTGGGCACAGTGGCTCACACCTGTAATCCCAGCAATTGGGAGGCCAAGGTGGGCAGATCATTTGAGGTCAGGAGTTTGAAACCAGCCTGGCCAAAATGATGAAACCCTGTCTCTACTAAAAATACAAAAATTAGCTGGGCATGGTGGTGGGTGCCTGTAATCCCAGCTACTCGGGAGGCTGAGGCAGGAGAATTGCTTGAGCCCGGGAGGCGGAGGTTGCAGTGAGCAGAGATTGCACCATTGCACTCTAGCCTGGGTGACAGAGCAGACTCCATCTCAATAAATAAATAAATAAAAGTTGGAATTAAATAAATTAAAAACTTCACATAATTAATGTATATAATATGGCGAGCTTGGACATATGTATACACTCATGTGATCATCACCACAATCGAAGTAACAAGTATATCCATCATCTCCAAAAGTTTCTTTGTGTCCCTTTGTTGCTTCAGTATTGCTGTTTTCATGGTAAGAACACCTAACATGAGAGAGTATGCCGCCATTGCCACCACCACCACCATTGCCATGAACAATGTCGTACAGACTCACACACACATGGAGCTTCAATCGTATGATCAATGCTTCAGTTGTTGGTTTGTGGAGAAGCTTCTCAAGGGCGACAGCTCTGGGGAGCCGTGCTCCAACCTCTTCAAGCATTACCTGCAGTGTGTTCAGAAAGCAACAACAGAGAGAATCTCTGTTGAAGGACTGAGTTCACGGGCCATGGTGAAGAAAAGTATGAAGAGTCTTCTTGACCTTGATGGTCACCTTGAAAATGGATTCTTCAAATCAAGAAATTGAGAACTCTGGATTTTGTCAACTAAGTCTGTGAAGACAGCCATCAGATTTGATGAGGAATTTAGGCAAGGCGAGTTTCGTTTCCTTCTTCTTGATGTTTTCCTCTCACTTGTAGAAGATGATGATTTCGGCCCGGGCATGGTGGCTCATGCCTGTAATCCCAGCACTTTGAGTGGCCAAGGCAGGAAGATCATGATGTCAAGAGATCGAGACCATCCTGGCCAACATGGTGAGACCTCGTCTCTATTAAAAATACAAAAATTAGCTGGGCATGGTGGCACGTGCCTGTAGTCCCATCTACTCAGGAGGCCGAGGCAGGAGAACCCTTGAACCAGGGAGGCGGAGGTTGCAGTGAGCTGAGATAGTGCTACTGCACACTCCAGCCTGGCAACAGAGCGAGACTCTGTCTCAACAACAACAAAAAAAGATGATGATTTCTCACTTGCTCTGGTATCTTCTAGGAACCCAGGGTGCTAAAACTGAACAATTTCTTGGGATTATGATTGCAATACTTAGTCTGGGATCAGCTGTAAATATACCTTGTATGAAAATAATGATAAACTAGTCAGGATGATCAAGGTTGCCTGACCTCTTGATTTTTGCTACAAGTGACATTATGTACACTTGTACTGGGGTCATTGTTCATGAAAGCAATTGGTTAGGACCTCCTTTTTCTCTCAGGGAACTAATGCTCTGAAAGGGATCTGGGCACAACAGTTTCAGTCAGTGCTTCAGAGCAGAATTTTATTTTTACATGGTAACTTGCAGTTAAGATTGCTGGCAGCCTGGATAAGCAAAGAAGAAGCTTTTAAAACAATCCCCTGCCTTAACAAGAGGTTAAGATGTGAAAGCTTCAAGAATGTTGCAGTGAACACCATTTCAGAGCTCACAGTGTAGTTCAGGAATAAAGATATTCAGAGTGGCTATGGAGGAAAAGTCTAAATTGCACAGTTTGCTGCTGGCAGCTTTCAACTCAAGTCAAGAATTAAGTCAACCTGCAGATCATAAAAAATGTCAAACTGCTGCATATGGTTAAATGGGGGAAAAGGTGTTTGCTTTATTTGCCTTGTTTACTCACCCTGTCCTATAATGTCTGAAATCATGGAGATGGAATAAAGTGTAACATTTCATTTCTATCATTATTTGCCCTTGGAATTCAGTACAGAACAACTATTACCCTGTTACTCCACATATCTCATATATGAACTAAGGAGAGTTTTATCTTTTACAATCTAAAGGTGAAGAAAGAGTAATTTGTCTCAGCTAAGTGGTATGGCATGGCAATTAGAAACCTCACTGATTTCTAACATGTATTTCCAGAATAGGCTACACAAATACCTTAAAATAAATTTACATTATGGAACCAAAAATGTCAAGATCAAGAAAATATTTACATGCTTTAGAGTGTCATGTAATCCCCAAAAGTGCATCTCTTGAGTAACTTGGTTTAATTTATTAGATGCCAAAGAAAAGTACAAAACTTGATTTACTGGCCAGGCACGGTGGCTTATGCCTGTAGTCACAGCTACTCAGGAAGCTGAGATGGGAGAATTGCTTGAGCTCAAAGAGGTTGAGGCTACAGTGAGCCAAGATTACACCACTGCACTCCAGCCTGGGTAACATAGTAAAGACCCTGTCTCAAAACACACACGCAAAAAAAAAAAAAAAAAAAAAACCCACCCTTGATTTACTGAAAACCTAAATTCTATTATCTTGTCTCTACCAGTTACAATTACTACTTCATATTTAATGTTACCAGCTCTTAATGTCATTTCAAAACATTCTTCATGGATATTTTCTGACTGGTTGGGGTTCATTATTCAAGGATTATAACAGATACATGGAACCCAGCCGAAGGAGGCAGGCAACAAGCTAAAGGACATTTGTCCTAAACTCAGACTGGCCACAAGCAAAATAGCTCTACAGAGATCAGAAGTGCAGGCTGTTATATCACATAATGGCAAAGATAACAGGATTCTTTATTCCTTACCGTAAATGGCTGTCCATGTGCCTTACCCTTGCATTACCAGTTGAATGTAATTACTACAAAATACCCTGTAGCCTCTTGAACCTTGCCACAAACTGTCCCGTGGAGTCTTCAAAATAAACCAGCTCCAAGCCAACAATGTTCTTTTAATAAGTCGTATTGAGAGGTCTGTGTGTGGAAGCTGCATATGCCAGCCCAGAAATTCACTTCTGAACCTGACTTTTGGGGAAAATTGTAGGAAATACCTTGAACAAACCTTCTCAGTTTCAATTGACGGGGTGAGAAGGATGTTCTAATTCATTAATTGCCAGGACAGATTTTAGATTCCTGGAGTACAACTAAAAAGCTCAAGCAGTGGGTATCTAACCCTATCCATACTACAGTTAAGTCTTAAAGGCCAGCTATTAGTGACTACCTTGCTTTATGAATACATCCTACTGAAAGGAAAAACATCTTACCTTGCCGAAAATAATTCTTTCTGAATGCTCCTTACCCTATCTTGACTTCATCCTCCCCATAAAGTGACTCCAACTACCTCAGCTACTTTAAAGGTTTTTAATTTTGATGAGAAATTAGTTGCCCTTTCAGAGGGATTTTATAACTTCTACTACTGTTTCTTCTTCCTAATTCTTAATAGTTACAAGATGGTTTTAATTCCAAAAACCAGTAAAGCCAATACTATAAGAAAAAAAGGAACACTTATCATGAGATCTACTGTCCTAACAAATGTTTAAGTGCACAATGCCTTATTGCCAACTGTAGATACTAAGTTGCACAGCAGATCTCTGGAATTTACTCATCTTGTATAACTGTAACTTTACATGCATTGAACAACAACTTCCTGTATCTCCCTAACTCCGTTTCTTGGTAACCACCATTCTATTGTCTACTTCTATATGTTTTTCTATTTTATTTTATTTTATTTTGTTGAGATGGAGTTCTGCTCTGTCACCTAGGCTGGAGTACAGTGGCGCGATCCCAGCTCACTGCAACCTCCACCTCCTGGGTTCAAGCTATTCTCCTGCCTCAACCTCTTGAGTAGCTGGGATTACAGGCACCTGCCCCCACAACCGGCTAATTTTTGTATTTTTAGTAGAAATGGGGTTACACCACGTTGGCCTGGCTGGTCTTGAACTTCTGACCTCAGGTGATCCTCCTGCCTCAGCCTCCCAAAGTGCTGGGATTACAGGCGTGAGCCACTGTGCCCAGCTACTTATCCTAATATTATTTTCCTATCAAATAATGTTTTTTAAAAACTGATATTTAGGTATCCCTCATAAGCACTCAGAAAAATATATGAACAATGTTTCTTAACCAGCTTTTGCCCAATAATAACTAAGTCTTAGTGAATGTAAAAATCATCCAGGGTTAGGAAAAATCATGTAAAAATAGCTTTTGTTTGCAAATTCAAGAAGCATGCCTGCTTCTTGAGGAAACCAGATGATAAAGAGAATGTATGGCATACATAGGAGGTTCTCATGACTGTAGCTAGAAAATTAGCACTTATAGGCCAGGCGTGGTAACTCACACCTGTAATCCCAGCACTTTGGTGGATCACGTGAGGTCGGGAGTTCAAGACCAGCCTGGCCAACATGGTGAAACCCCGTCTCCACTAAAAATAAAACAATTAGCTGAGCATGGTGGCACATGCCTGTAATCCCAGCTACTCAGGAGGCTGAGGCAGGAGAATCACTTGAATCTGGGAAGTCGATATTGCAGTGAGCTGAAATTGTGCCACTGCACTCCAGCCTGGGTGACAAAGAGAGACTCTGTCTCAAAAAAGAAAAATTAACACTTATGACAAGAAGTTAGGTGGTTCCTCACTGGTTCCCTTCATTCACTTTTTGAAGGCCTGAGGACAGTTGGCCAAGCCGGAATATGTCAGCAAAGTCAGACCGCAGCTGAGAAGTAGGTGGAGTTGTCTTGTATATTTTTGTTTCTCCCTTGGGCATGTTTCTCCTCCCCTATCCTCTTCTTTCTTCCTCCTCAAACTCCCACAGTACTCCCATCACTTTAAAATACTGTTTCCAGGAGATCCTAACTTTGAGTACAGCTCTTTGACTTCTTTTTTGAGACAGGATCTCACTCTGGTTGCCCAGGCTGGAGTGCAGTGTTGCAATCATGGCTCACTACAGCCGCAACCTCTCGGACTCAGGTGTTTCTCCTTCAGCCTCCTGAGTAGCTGGGACTACAGGTGCACGGCCATGCCTGGCTAATTTTTTTGTATTTTTAGTAGAGACAGGGTTTCTCTGTGTTGCCCAGGCTTGTCTCAAACTCCTGGACTCAGGCAATCCACCTGCCTCAGCCTCCAAAAATGCTGAGATTACGGGCATGAGCCACTGCACCCTTCTCACCCTGGCAATAGGCTCAGCCAACTCATACCCTTGGACTTAGCCGGGGAACTCCTGGCCAAAACCACTTTATATTTGGCTTCTCTTTGCATAAACCCATTTAGATTGCCTACTTGCCTATTTGCCTGCAAAACTCCAAGAGATACTCCTTTCTCTTCCATTGAGATTCCAAGTATTTTAATCCCACCCTTGTAACAAAGCACACTTCTACATGCTGTGGCACTTGCCTTCAGAATATACTCCTTCTACATGAACTCAAATAGATCAAGCACTTTGGGAGGCAGAGGCGGCTGGATCACATGAGGTCAGGAGTTTGAGACCAACCTGGTCAACATGGTGAAACCCTGTCTCTACTAAAAATACAAAAATAAGCTAGCAATCGCTTGAACCCCCGGAGGCGGAGGTTGCAGTGAGCTGAGATCATGCCACTGCACTCCAGCCTGGGTGACAGAGTGAGACTCCTTCTAAAAAAAAAAAAAAAAAAAAAAAAAAAAGCCAGGTGCAGTGGCTCACGCCTATAATCCCAGCACTTTGGGAGGCCGAGGTGGGCAGATCGCAAGGTCAGGAGATCGAGACCATCCTGGCCAACATGGTGAAACCCTGTCTCTACTAAAAATACAAAAATTAGTTGGGCGTGGTGGTGCACACCTGTAGTCCCAGCTACTCAGGAAGCTGAGGCAGGAGAATCGCTTGAACCCGGGAGGCGGAGGTTGCAGTGAGCCAAGATTGTGCCACTGCACTCCAGCCTGGAGACAGAGTGAGACTCCGTCTCAAAAAAAAAAATTGTATTCTAAGGAAAAGAAAAGGACAATTATGACCCTTGTCCACATTTAGGCAACACGTCTCCTACTAAACCCTTTGCATGAATTATAGATAATATTTGATATTATTTATTATCCTTAATCAGACATTTTCTAAATTAATCCAGACATCTCCTCATTAATTCAATCATACTCACTTTGGAACCAATCATCCTTCACTTGAATAGCCCTCTGATCTCTTTACCAGGCATGGACCATGAAGTGCCTGCATTTAATAGTAATCCCAGGTTACCACATTTCACCTGTGCAATCCCTGCTGTTTACCTGGCACAAGCTATTTATTTTACTCTAATCCAGAGAAAAGAAAACTCATAGATGATCACATAATGTTCTGTGCCAGCTTATTTTTGAAAGTAATGTGAACAGCTAAGATGGTTCCCTGTTACCTCTAAAAATGAAAGAATACAAAAGGATTAACATGAATTAGAAAAGAAGATACCATTTGATAAGCCCCAAAACAACACTTGCAGTAGTAGCTTTCCCGTAGATCCTACAGTATTGGCCTTAACCACCATGTGCAACAATATTTTAAGAGCTATCATTAGGCACGCAGGTTAGGAATTCTTTGTCAGCATAAGCAGTGTTTACAAGCTCTGAGAAGAACAGACTCCGGTAACATCTGTCTTAAATTTCAGATCTTTTTGTTCATTTTACCAATGTCTATTGAGAGCTAAGCATGAGTCACAGAGATGAATAAAACATATTCCATGCACTCAATAAGTTCATAACATAATGAGTCATATGAACACGCATAGGATTAATCGATATTATTGGTCAGTCTTTGAATTAAAGCATTGAAAGTCCAGTAGGTAATATCAAGTCCCTAAATTACAACAAACACGAAGGATATTCAGGAAAGATGAGTTTCCAGGGTAGGGTGTAAGAAAGTTCTGGAATGTACACAGATGCTGGAGAAGAACTGGAGAACTGGTATCTCAACTGAGAGATACCAGTGAGGATAAATAAAGAAAAGATATGTGAGATGCCACCAGAGAAAATTCTGCCTACATAATTTTACCAGTGTTTGCCCTAAGTAAGAATGCAAGTGATGACCCAGTCACCGACCTGTTAGCTTTGTCATTTTCCAAAGATTTTAAAATTGTCACTCGAAGAATAATATTTTCAAGGTATGAAGAACCCCTCTGTATTAGTCTGTTTTCACATTGCTGATAAAGACATACCCCAGACTGGGTAATTTATAAAGAAAAAGAGGTTTAATGGACTCACAGTTCCATATGGCTGGGGAGGCCTCACAATCATGGCGGAAGGTGGAAGGCACATCTAACATGGCAGCAGACAAACAGCAAATGAGAACCAAGCAAACGGGGATTCCCCTTATAAAGCCATCAGATCTCGTGAGACTTACTTCCACGAGAAGCATATGAGTGAAACCGCCCCCTTAATTAAATTATCTCCCTCCAGGCCCCTCCCACAACATGTAGGAATTATGGGAGCTACAATTCAAGATGAAATTTGGATGGGGAGAGAGCCAAACCATATCAACCTCTGAACTCAGTATATTTTATGCTTAGGCTCAGGGCTATATAAAACCTTTCTAGAATTAGATTTTGCCACATCCATTCTGATAACAGCCCTCCTAGCTTAACTTGCAGATTATTCCTTCTTCAATCTAGTTCACGTGCGCTAGGTGGGCTCTATTGCTGCCTCAGGCGTGGACCACATGTCTCAGGCCCAAGCCAGTAAGCACATCACGTTCCCCTGGCCTTGGTGCTTGCAGACACAAGAATAATTCCTAGCCTTGTAAGCAAAAGAGCTCCCTGTTTCCTACTGGGCTTACATCTTGGACTCACCTGAGCTTAGGACTGCTGCAGTCATCTTGTCATAAAGCACAGAGAGCCTAGAAGTTCCAGAAGTGATGACGAGGAGGTTGCACATGAATTCAATCCAGCGGGAGGCAGAGAGGAGAAACACAGAAAAAAAAAAAAAAAAAAAAAAAAAACACCCAAGCCCTAACGATATTGTTTGAGCCCAGAATCCAACTATACTGGCAGCAAGGCTACCTGTGGACTTTTTCAGTTAAGTGAGAAAATAAATTCCATCTTTGCCTGAAGTCTTTTGGAGCAGATGTTCTAACACCTGTAAATTAATACAGAAATAAGTATATAACAGACACGTTTAATCTGATGCCATCTCATTTCCAGGCCCCCTCCCAAACTCACCAGAGGCTAGAGTCTCAGAGCAATAAAACTGACACAGAAGGATTTCACAATTTCAAGTCACTTTAAAACCAACATCACAGAAAATGTGATCATAGAATGTTTGGCCAAATTCTATTTTGTAGGCATTTTCAGAAATGCAAATCCCATTTATGGGATAATCAAGAAAAACTACCAAGAGAGTAATTACATGCAATCTGCTTTGATTATTGGTCTTGGCCATCAAAACTCATAAATGCATTAGAAATCATATAACAAAGACAACACATATAGCCTGATCCTGAAGCATGCAAACAGATATCCAAAGTGCTTCCTGCTTTTAATTGGCTGGGTGGTGAATAGGTGTAGTCATACAGTTTTTTCCTTTTCAAGAACAAAGATCTGAGGACTTTGCATGAGAGAAGCCTCATAAAATTGCCAATATGTGGCTTTGGGTTTGAAACTTACTCTGGAACTTAACATTTGTGAAGAAATGCACTAAGCATTCGTCCTTATTCATTAGAGTCACTCCTTCCACATTGAAGTCGTGATACAGAGAATGCAAATTACAAACCTAATTGCACATATGGATTCTTACTTAATGCAATGGCCCTAGTTTTATAGTCTAGGAGTCCATATTTGAGGGAAGGTGGTAACCAAACCTCACCCAACAGCTTGTAATCTTGGAAAAATATGTAAAAAATGAAAAACACCCATATGCCAAGCTTTTAAATGGGAAATTGGTGCCATCTTGTGGTTACAAATATGTAAAAATAAAAAATTTTACCTTTTTTTTTTAGAGATGGTTTCGCTCTGTCACCTAGGCTTATGAAGTGCAGTGGCTTGATTATAGCTGTCACTGCAATTCAAACTCCTGGGCTCAAGTGATCCTCCTGCCTCAGCCTCCCAAGCAGCTAGAAATAAAGCTGCACACCACCGTGCCCGGCTAATGTATTTATTTATTTTTCGAGACAGTCTCACTGTGTTGCCCAAGTTGGTCTCGAACTCCTAGCCTCAAGTGATTCTCCTGCCTCGGCCTCCCAAATAGCTGGGACTACAGGTGCACACCACCATGCCTGGCCGAATTATTTTAAAAATTTGTATAAAAGTGGGGTCTCACTATGCTGCCCAGGTTGGTCTCCAACTCCTGGGCTCAAACAATCCTCCTGCTTTAGCCTCCCAAAGCACTGGGTTTACAGTCATGAGCCACCACACCCGGCCTCACTTTTTTCATATATTAAATAATCATTGCCAAAATCAGGCCCATTTTAAGTAATCATTTCCCTCAGTATTCTGATACACCCCAATAAAGCTTCTTTGTTTCTTCTTTAGAATATTTGTTAAAAGTGTAGACACCTTTCCTTGACAGTCAATTTCACTGCTTTTTCAGCTAGGAAACTCCGATTTCCTGTAAAAATCGTGTCCATGATTACACTTTAATTTTTGGATCAGAGGCAGGCTTTAATTCTGAAAGCTGAGACGATGCATTCATGGAAGAAAAGAAAAGAAAAAAAAAAAAAGCTCAAACCAATTTTTAGACATTAACACAGTAATCAGCGAATGTCTTGAGAGATGGCCCAGGACATTAGAAACAGCACATAACTTGACTTTCAACAGTCCCTGAAAATGCAGATTGACTTCCAGAAGACATAGTGCTCTGAGAAGAGAAGAGTCAAACACCTTCTCAGAAATTGTTGGATTGTTTAAAAAAAAAAAAAAAGCCAAGATAGGCATGAGCCAAGATGTCATCCGAAATACCTCATATTTTGTGGAACTTTTCCTACACAAATGCAAGTGGGGCTAGACTGGAGGAAGTGCCAAGGGCGGACTCACTATGAATGTCAAGTGGTGCCACGGAAAAGCCGGCCGGGCGCAGTGGCTCACGCCTGTCATCCCATCACTTTGGGAGGCTGAGGTGGGCAGATCACTTCAGATCAGGAGTTCGAGATCAGCCTGGCCAACATGGTGAAACCCTGTCTCTACTAATAATACAAAAATTAGCCGGACATGGTGGCACTCACCTGTAATTCCACTACTCAGTAGGCTGAGGCACAAGAATCGCTTGAACTTGGGAGGTGGAGACTGCAGTGAGAAGAGATCGAGCCACTGCACTCCAGCCTGGGTGACAGAGTGAGACTCTATCTCAAAAAATAAATAAATAAATAAAATTAAAAAAATAAAATTACAAATAAAATATATTTTTAAAAAAGAAAGAAAAGCAGAGAAGGCTTTCCTCTGCATTACAAAGACAGTCTGGTAAACCCATGGGCAGATCAGGTCATGAAAATTAAAGGAATTTCCCCAAAAGCAATAATGTTTGGATGGCTTGTATTTATACTAGGAGATAGGACGTCAGTCTAAATTGATATCATAATTTAAATAATTTATTTTTAAGTTTAATAACATACCTCAATATTTAATAGAAAATTCTTTATAAGAACAAAACATAAATATAGAAATTAACTGCCTGGTAGAGTTATTGATAGAAAAGATGGGAATCAAAATAGACCACGATTTAGAGCATGATTGTGGAAATGGCCACATCAAAGAGAAAGAGAGAGAAGTGAGGAATGAGAGAGTGGGGTTTGGGGAGAAGAAGTGGAAGAGAAAAAGAGAAAGTGAGAAGGTCTTATGTAAGCGTAGGGTAAACGCATGTGCCTTAGATTATATGCGGCTGAGCAGAATAAGAGAAATAATAAGGCTGGTTGCAGTGGCTCACACCTGTAATCCCAGCACTTTGGGAGGCTGAGGTAGGAGGATTGCCTGAGGCCAGGAGTTAAAGACCAGCCTGGCCAAGATGGTGAAACTCTGTCTCTACTAACAATACAGATGGTGGGAATCTGTAATCCCAGTTGCTTAGGAGGCTGAGGCAGAGAATTGCTTCAACCTGGGGGGCGGAGGTTGCAGTGAACCGAGATTGCACCACTGCACTCCAGCCTGGGCAACAGAGCGAGACTCTGTCTCAAAAAAAAATGTTTTAAAAATCAGCCAGGCATGGTGGTATGCACCTGAAGTCCCAGCTACTTGGGAGGTTGAGGCAGGAGAATCACTTGAAAAAAAGAATCGTTACCCAAAAAAAAGTTTTCTAAAAAATTAGCCTGCTGTGGTGATGCATACCTGTAGTCCTAGCTACTCAGGAGACTGAGGCAGGAGGATGGCTTGAGCCCCACAGTTCGAGGATGCAGTGAGCTATGATGGTACCACTGCCCTCCGGCCTGGGCAGCAAAGTGAGACTCTCAAAAAAAAAAACAAAAAAAACAAAAAGGAGTAATAGTAACAAAAGGCAACATTTTTTGGACACTCACCCCATGCCAGGTGGAATAGTAAACTCTAGTTATGCAACATTTCATTTAATCCTGTTTGGAAAAAAAAAAAAAAACAACAACAATGTGATTTTCCCCAACACTACTAGACTTTGGCAGCTAGATGAGACTTTTCATAGAATTTTTTTCCAACTTAAAAAAATCTACAGATCACTTTAAATATGTATGGCATTCTTCATCAGCACCTGCCATAATGCACATTCATTAATCAAATGAATATGCCAGATATTTTTCAAAAAGTCTGAAACATTTTTAGAAGTAGAATACTATTGGATTCAATGGCCATGTAATCACAGATTCTTTAAATGTCTCTTCCCCCCAAAGTGAATCTAAAAAGTAAAAACATTGAGAAGCATGTAATTCCATACTGAAGCTAGAAACAGGTCCAAACTTATACCACAAACCTAGAACCAAATTTAGATAAAATAACTGAACTGGAAAAGTGACTCACTTTCAAGAAAGAAGTATGCAAAGAAGAAGCAAATAAAAGAAATGTGGGTAAACCCCACTTAGTATGGGCAGTTCAGGAGGCAGAAAGAACATAGTGGGTTTCCAGCCTATTTCCCAGGGCCCACACTGGAAGAGCTGGCAAATTTATCCTCCACTTTGGTCCAAGGTGAAAACACTGATCACCACTTTTATACACCTGGTAATGGAGGATGCAAACAAAGATTGTACTACGAGAGGAAAGTTCTTAGGGTTTTTTTTCCACACTTTAATATTTCTAAGTTCAAGCTGCTTTAAAAATCTACAGCAAAACAAACTTTCCATCGTACAGATGGAAGAGTAAGTGATAATATAATCATCATTTCCTGTGCTTTTTCTTACCTTTGAATAGAAGACTTATCTTGTGTTACATCTTTTAAATTTTTACTCTAAATGTGGGTCTCTAATTAT
Source organism: Homo sapiens (assembly GCF_000001405.40). Lineage (NCBI taxonomy): Eukaryota > Metazoa > Chordata > Mammalia > Primates > Hominidae > Homo > Homo sapiens. The sequence continues at coordinate 128,200 of NW_003315934.1, read as the reverse complement.
TTCTTTGGATGCCCTCAAAAGATTACGCCAGTGAGGCATTCTTAGCATAGAACTATCATGTATACATTAACCATCATAAAGAAATATTTGTTCTAATAAAATAGTTGCCCTTGTATTCTCTTTTGTGGATTTTTCTGGGACCTTCTGGGATCTTTCTTTGTGCTGAAAGAATTAGATTTTGCTCCAGACTCTGATGTGGAACAGGATTGTATATTAATTGAAGTCATTAAGGTCATTGATGGCCATTCTGAATTTAAAGCTGAAACTTCATTTCTGTTCTATTTCATATTTCAGATTTTGTCCAGCTATATATTGCCCAATATAGCCCTCAAAGTTTATGCTATGAGATTAAATAACAACACTAAAATATTCCAACCATCATATGTTAATACATACTGATGCTCTAAAGTTAAATATAATCTCCCTCCCATTAATAATTTCCAATGATATGATTAAATTCAAATATGAAAACCTTTAAAAAATTAAAATCCCAAATATCTAATTTAAAGTCTAAAAGGGTGAAAATCTGAAAGAAAAAAAAAACCTGCTGTCTTTGTTGTGTGGTATGAATCCAAATAAATGAAAGTCCCAAATCCCAACCTTAAATGCAAAATCATTCTCCCCAGCTTCTCATTCTGTTCAATTTCAATTCTATGAATTCTCCACCTGCATTTTTTCAGGGACTGCAGCCTGACTGTCTTTCTGTGGAGTGGGTGCAGTTCCTTCTGGACCTCAGAAATTGTGTCTGTTTGCTGCTAAGTCCCTCAGGAGCCTCCCTTTTTAAGGATCCAAAGCATTCACAGAGCATACAAAATTAGACCTCACTGTGTTCCACATCTACAGATTTTAGAAAATATAGCAATCTCCAATTCCTAGAACATAATCATGTTCCAGAACCCAGCACTCCCTGTTGTCAAGATCATAACAGAAACTGAAAAGTACCTAAAAATAAAATACTGGTTTCAGATTTACTCAATTGCTGATCAACCCATGATGGTTGCCTGGGATCCATGATCGTCGCCCTAAAAATCAATAAGGACTGTGCAAGAATGTTTGGAGCAGCATTACGCAAAATAGACAAAAAAAAAAAAAAAAAAAGAAGCAATTCAATGCCTATCAGCTGATGAATGGATAAACAAAACTGTGATCTATCCAAAAACTATTCAGCTATAAAAATGAATTTATGTTGCTACATGCTACAATATAGATGAGCCTTGAAAACATTGTGCTAAGTGAGAGAAGCCAGGCACAAAAGACCATATATTTTATGATTCCATTTATATGAAATGTCCACAATAGGTATATTCATAGAGACAAAAAGTAGATTCGTGGTTGCCAGGAGATGGGAGGAAGGGAGAATTGGGACTGACTGCTAATAGGTACAGGGTTTCTTTTGGGGATGATGGAAATACTCTGGAGTTAGATAATAGTGATGGTTGTGCAACGTAGTTAATATACTAAAAATCAGTGAATTTTTTGTTCTTCTAAATTTACAGTAGCATCTAAAATAATGTCAGGAATTTCACCTTTGACAGGATGAAAAGCTATACTTTGATTCCATAAAAAGGATTAAAAGCAACCTATTATTAGAATTAACTGCTCTTTAATTTGAAGCATCTCGTGACATCAGTATGGTAGTGACATTATTTCACAGTGTGAACAATTCTCTTTGGGGTATTCCAGACAACCTCTTACAGCTATCACTTAATTTTTTTATATGCCAAGAATTTACAATCTAAAGTGAACAAAATTAATTTAGAGAAACAGTCAATCTAAATAAATATGAAACATTTTTTGCAGTGTAATAGGTAAATGTACTTTACATATTTTCATGTTTTACGTTCTTTATAGGCATAGGTTCCTTAAAATAACTATCACATGTTCAAGTTTATGATAACACTTTTTTAAGAGACATGTGTCTTCTATATTTATGTGGTCAGTGATATCACTATAGACCCTTAGTGGATGAGGCTATAAACATTTTACATAGGTTATATATTTATCATCTGCTTTCTTGAGAATGGAAATCCAGTTATGTGTTTATTTTCAAACCAAAATGTACTTTTTTAGATCATTTGTACGGCAAGGATTATTGCAAAAAAAGTTACAAACAGTAAAATAAATAATTACAGTTTTTTTCTACACAGAGTCACTATAGCGAGGTCTTCTTTGCCTGCATTTGTTTTCTTGCACTTAACCTGTAGTTTCGCGGGTGTCCCTCTGACCATTCCACCTGGCCTTGTGCATCTCCAGGCCCTAGCAAGGACTGTGGCTCAAGCAGCCGAGGTGAGCTGAGGTCGAGCTGTGGGAGCACCAGGGACAGCAGCTGACTCTCCCACCTCCACCCAGGCGTGGAAGGATTCTGCTATCCCAGGCATCGGTGTCAGTGCACAACCTCATTACAGCCACAGGCACCCTTCGTGAGGCCAGTGACACTGAGATGCTAGGTCAGTTTGGAAAGAGGGGCAGAAGCCAGAAGTGAAAAGGGAACAGTATTAAAATCCATCCTAGAGTATTTTTAAGGCAGCAGTTAAATATTTTATTTTATTTTAAATGAGAAAACATCACTATTCATGCCAATGCCAAATGGACAGGGGGTGGTTCAAGAGCTATAAACCCAGACTGTGCAGGACAAGCAAGTTATGACGTTTCTAGGACTTAGACAAAAGGAGGTTGTTATCTTGCGTTATTTCAAGGTACTGATGGGGCAAATGACATTTCTGTTGTTATTGGCAACAACAAAGACTGCCTTTTTTGGTTTCTGTCCCACAGCCTCTTCTGAAAGTGCCTCTTCCACTCTTTAAGTATGCTCTTTGGGAATGAATCTAGCCTTGACTCTCAGGGTTTAAAGCTCATGGGGTTTCTCCTAATCCATGCCCCTGTAGGACATTTCATCAGGAGCCTCCACTTACCTAGTTACATGGCTTGAAAGATGATCTGAATTCTGAAATGAGACGCCACCCCGAGCAGAGGGCCCAGCCAACCTGTGCCCAGATTCCTGACCCACAGAACTATGAGATAATTCATTTGTGTTGTTTTAAGCTGGTAAATTTGCGGTACTCAAAAACCAATGCAACTTTAAATAAGTATATCAACTGGAATAAACTAATTGTATTTATATATGTGTATTTATTTGTGTATCTGTGTATGTATACAAACAACGACAAAGAGGCTGTCCCTAACAAAACTCTAGACAGGCTTCTCTGAGCTCTTTTTTGACTAGGCCTCATCCTTAGAGTGTTCTCCAGAGCCCAGTTTTAGCAAGACTCCTGCCAAGTTGGTTTTGCCAGAATCTCCCACCCTTGATATCTGATCCAATTCCTTATTCCCCACCATTTCCCCAGTGATTATCTTATCACCCCAGCTTGCATTCAGCAAGAATCTTGTCAAGTCCATTTAGCCAGAAATCCTTCACCTGAAGTAGCTTCATGTGGTTTGTGTGCATTTTCAAATATTTAAAAGTGATCCACACTTTATACATGGTTCTAAATGCTTCTGTAAGATCTCAGGTTTCTTTTAGTTTGAACCTTTAATGTATTGCTTAAGCAAGTGGGTGAGGGAAGTGTGAATCCTGCCTGCCTTCTCTCAGCTCTCCCTCACTGAAGATGGGAATGCAGCCCTACTCAGTGGCACCTGGGACCCCTGGCTGCAGTGCCCAGGTGACATTCCTGTGGAGAAAAGCACTTTAGGACCAGCCTGCAGACACCCTCTCATGAATCTTCTGCTTTACCCTGAAGCCTGGGAGAAAACAAAGGGGAAAAATGTGAGAAGAACTACGCTGCCCTTCCCGAATAGAAACCTGTTGTGCAGAGGCACATGCAGCTGAGGACAGAGCTGCGCCATCTTACTGCACCTGCCTTTCTCTGCTCCCAGTGCATCCTGAGAGCTCAGATCCTTCTCTCTCTCCACGAAAGCCTCTTCTCTCCTCACCAAACTAATTGTATTAAATTTGCACATAGTTTCTGTGACCTCATCTGACAGACTGTTTTTGAGCTCCCTGTTGCCAATCTGTCTACTTTCCTGTTCACTTAAACCTAAGGGAATACATCAGCTGCAAGAGGTGACTCTGTTGCACTGTTGCTCCTGTATCCTCTTACAGATGTCACAATGACACTGATATCACACAGTGACATGAACCTTGATGTATGATACATGCAGAAAAAGAATGTGCCATGGTTAGCCCAGCAGTCGTTAAATGAGCTAAAATTGTGATAAGGGAAAAAGAAACACGTGTCAAACACCACATTCAAGGTACCCAGAAGTGAAAATGGAATAATCTTGACCGATTCATGATGGCAAAGCCACATTGCCTGTGTCATCCATGATCCTTCTCTATGATCAGTGTTTATGGAGTAGATCTATATGTAGCCTCTCTTACATAGAATAAGGTTCAATTGAAGGTGACAGAGAATCCCCAAAATAACAGTCCCTTAGAGAAGTTAGCATACTTCTTGCTCATGTAAAATCAGGCAGAGGCTTGGCCATCCAGGTTTGCTGTGGCAGCTCCGCTTCATGAGCCATCAAAATTCCGCACTCCCCAGCTGTGCCCAGGGCACAGCTCACTTCCTCATAGTCACATACGACTGCTGGAGCTCCAGGAAACACAACTGCATCCCAAGCTACAGTCATGAAAAAGGAGTAGAAAAAACAAAAGACCTCCTCCCATAAGGAAAGTCCCTGGAAGTCACAGACAAACAATTCCGCCTCTACCTCACTTTCCTGACTTTAGTTCCATGGCCACACTGACCTGCAAGGGAGGCTAAGAAGTGTAGTATCTACATGGATGATGATGTTAGCAACTGAATATGTGGGGCTGTAGTTACTAAGAAAAAATGGGAGAAAAAAATACCCGGAAGAAACTAGGATTCTTAGACACACAAAACACTTCATTCCATAATTGTAATGATTCCTTTTTAAGAAACTATTTTACATTAACAAGAAAAGACTTGGGAAATCCAACAGAACACCGAGAAGCATATGAATAGGTAATTCAAAGTAGGAAAAACTTTAATAGTTAAAAATATGTGAAGGGGAACTCAGAAAAATTAGTCATGAGATAAATGACACAAAAGAGCACTTTATATCAATTTATTAATTTTAGAAATTTGGATTATGCCATAATTAGTGGAAATGTAGGTGGACATGTTCATGCTTTATCTCAAAGATTCAGACACACTTGGAGATTTTCTTCGCACTTAGTGAAAATAATTATGCGTATACTTTATGTCCCAACCATCACATCCTGGGAATATTCCCCAGAGAAGAAGCCATGGAGGACATTTTCAAAGATCTTATTTGCAACATTTATTGCACAGCAAAGTTTACTAAATTTAGATGCCCTTTACTTGGAGATTTTTTGCATAAAACAGGGTTGTATTTATTGTATACATTTATATTTATATATGTATATATATTTCTAACTATATATCATAGCTTTTACAAACGATTTCACATAAATATATTTGCAGGTGGCAAGAGGGCCCAATGATCCCTAGTATAAATGTATTTGCATCTGTTTTTTGTTTGTGTGTGTTTATTTTCTGGCTGTGTTTGTTTTATACATTTATATTTATAGATGTATATATTTTTCTCTATTATAGAGATTACACTCAATTTCATCATGATGTAATATAGCTATATTAACTGTATATTCTATATGAAATATATATATGTGCACATATATACATACATACATACAAACAAAGCACTATCGGTAGGCCTCAAAAACAGTGGGTGTTTACCATCTGCAAAGGGGCCATGTAATGTGGCTTTTTGGCTCCCTGCCAGTAGGTGGCAGCATTGCCCAACAGCCAGGAGTGTAAAAGTACGTGCATCTGTGTGTGGGAGGGTGTGTGTCTTTGTGTGAGATTTTTGGGTTATGTACAGTTTATGTGTGTGTGTGTGTGTGTGTATGCCCACATGCTTGGGGGTGTATAATTTATATATGAATATACATACATACAAATATTTATATATGAATATATGTACATACATACATCCATATTTGTATATAAATCTATGTGGTTATGTATGTTTACTAAGTAATACATGTTTTTACGTATTAATTTACATATGTAGGCTTTCTTGTTCCTGCCTGGAGGCACAGCACCACAAAGGGAAAGAGCTCTAAAAAGTTCCATGCATAAATATCTATGTTTTAATTTGTATTTATGTATATGTTGATGCAAATATTTATATATGTTATCTATTTCTTCGTATATTAAAAATATAGACATGGATTTGTGTATGTGTTTATTTGAGTTATGCCTTAGCTGGTGCCCTGTATGTGTGAAGCACTCCAGACCGGCAGACCGCACTGCTCCATTCTCCAGAGCAGCAGTTTCCACACACTGAGCCCCACCAATTGTTTACCTTCTGGGAGAGTGGAAGGCACAGCTGTTCCATCTGGTTGCTACCTCCCTGAGCTTCAAAAAACAGAAGAGATAGGGCTTTCTTTTGGGTGTAAGGCGATACATTTTTCAGCCTAGACTTGGCGACCCGAAGTCTGTGCAGAAAGCTAGCACTGCTGCTGTCCCAAGGCCAGATGCCAGGCCCGGAACCTCAGGGCTCCCTGGGGACTCCCCACTTGTGCGCGTGCAGTTCAGCCTCCTGGGATGGACCTGCGTCACCCACAAGCTGGACCCGAATTCTCTGAAAGGCATCATCCATCCCCTGTGGATGGCCATATCTAGCATCTACCTCTGACCTGGTTTTCCTCGTTTGCCACCTACACTGTGGACCAGAAAGTTTTGTCAAGCCAGACCCGTTTCCATGATTCTCTAAGTTTTGGACGAAGCCTCGAGCCCATAGGCTCCCAGGTGTCTTTTTTTTTTTTTAATTATTATTTTAGATGGAGTCTCGCTCTGTCGCTCAGGCTGGATATAGTGGTGCGATCTTGTCCCGCTGCAACCTCCGCCTTCCAGGTTCAAGTGATTCTTCTGCCTCAGCCTCCTGAGTAGCTGGGATTACAGGCACCCACCACCATGCCCCGCTAGTTTTTTTATAGTTTTAGTAGAGATGGGTTTTCCCCACGTTGGCCAGGCTGGTCTCGAACTCCTGACCTCAAGTGATCCGCCCGCCTTGGCCTCCCTCTCAGGTGTCTTTAATCCAAGTGTTCTCCGGGTCTGCCCTGGTTTCTCGAGATGCAGCTGGGGCCTGTGGTAACAGGCTCATGCAGGTCTGTGCAGTCTTCAGAATAAATTGGGGGTCACTTTCCTGTTCCCCAAATGCTCTCAGGAGCACTCAGAGCCATCCTGTCCTGGCCTCGCTGTCCCTCTGGCCCAAGAGCCCTTTACCCCACCCAGATTCACGCTGCACCCAGTGCCTCCTGTGTGTTCAGACCTAGCCTGTTTTCATCCTCCTGGAAAGCCTCCCCTGCCTCCACCCAAACTGAGACGCCTCTCTATGTCCCCACCTCAACTATCAAAAGAGGAGGCCCTGTCCTGACTGACAGCTTCTGCATAAGTGGGCAGCTTTCCCACTAGAAGACGATGGCCCTTGACTGGATCTGGTCAAAGGGCCATGTTCAGGTGTTTGTCATTTGTGGAGGCTCACACGGAACTGGCAGAAAGGAGGCTTCAGGCCTTTTGTTCACTCCACTGCCAGTCTGCAGTAAGGGGGCCCAACGGCTTCTAGTATAAGTGCAAGTGCATCTGTGTGGACTTGGGGTGACATGTTTGGGTTATGTTTATTTTATACATAGAGACTTGTACATATATACCTATATTTATATATTTGTTCACGTTTTTCTATATATAAATATAGATAATTACACAGAATATTTACATTCACTTATGTATATAAATATGTCTGTATTTATGTGTGTGGATGGATAGATAGATAGATAGATAGATAGATAGATAGATAGATAGATACATAGGGAGATAGGTTTTCTTCTTGCCTAAATGGAGAAACACCACCATGGACAGGCAGAAAGCACTACACAGTTTCCTGTATGAATATATATATGTATATATATGAATCTTTATTTATATGCTGACACATATATTCACATGTCACACATGCCCTTCTATCTTTAACAAACACACATTTCTGTGTGTGGATATATCTATTTCTCGCTATGTCTTAGCTGGGGCCCTGCATGTGTGAAACACTCCAGATCGACAGCCTGGGGCTCCCTGTTCCTCCAGATCAGTGATTCCCAAAGCTCAGGCCCCATCCAGTGTTGATTCTCTGGCCCAGAGGGAAGATGCAGCTGTGCATTTGACTTTGGGCGTCAGGACCATTGCTTCCCTCGGTGTTTGGGGGAAGTCACGCTGCTGCTCTTGGTCCCCAAGGCACTTGCTCTCAAAGGCACTCGGTGCAGTCTCACTGTGGCCTGCCTGTCCCTCCACCCTGCGCCATCTTACTGCACCTGCCTTTCTCCGCTCCCAGTGCATCCTGAGGGTCAGACCCTTCTTTCTCTCCATGGAAAGCCTCTTCTCTCCTCACCAAACTAATCATATTGCCCACACCTGAAGTGTTCCAAAGAAGCCCAGCTAACCTGATGCACAAGTTCTGGGAAACTGCCCATTTTTCTCAATGGAGGGTGATGGCCCTTGGACTGCCTCTTGTTAAAGGGCAATGGCCAGGTGTTTCCCATCCACGACCAGTGACATGGACCTGGCAGGAAAGGACTCCTGCTGGCCTTAGGGTTTCCTAGGCTGCTAGTAGGTGGCATGAAGGCCCCAGGGGACCAATGGCCCCTAATATTCACGCAGGTACATCTGTTTGTAGCACATGTGGGTTTTTCAGTGAGTTTTGGATAATGATTATTTTATACATAGGTGTTTGTATTTACATGCTTATTTTAAATATATTGTTTGTATTTATATATTTATTTTAAATATATCTATTTATATATAAATCTATATAATTATACCAAATATTCAAATTTATTCCTTCATAAGAATATGTATATTTTATGTTTTGTAATCACCTGCATGGAGAAACACCAAGGTAGACTGGTGGAGAGTGCAGCAAAGATCTACGTCGACACATGTATATTTCAATTTATTTGTTGATACACATGTTTACATGCTACACACTTTCTGGGTTGTACTGTCATAAAGAAGGGCACCTCAGAATACCTTTAAATGTAAACACATTTATGTGTGCGAGTATATTTATTTCTAGTTATATCATAGGTGGTGCCCTGTATGTATGAGACATTTCAGACTAGCAGACTGGGCTGCACTGTTTCTGCAGATCAGTGATTTTAAAACACTGAGACCCACTGAGTGTTGATCGTCTGGTCACGTGAGAAGACGCAGCTTCACGCTGGACGTCCAGATCAGAGACATTATTTCCCTTGGTGTTTGGGCCAGCTTGCACTCAGAGTTTTGGAGATCAACAGGGAGTGCTGACCAGCTGTGTTGGCATGAATGGGAGCGTCCAAAGCCTACGATAGCTGATCACATTAGGTGTTCTTCCATTCAAGTTCCACCCGGTCACCGTCTCTCTGAAGGTCTAATAACAGAAGAGATCATTCATTTTTTCAGCTTGTGCAGCCATGCATTTTCCAGCCTTGTTTTGGCAAGCGCAAGCCAGCCAGGAAGCTAACAGTGTTCGCGGCCCAAGTCCTGAGGGTTGTCGGTAGCATCCCTACTTGAGCAAGCGCACTTGAATCCACCACAATGGACAGCCTCAACCACAAGCTGGGCCCTGGCTTGGGGACAGGCATTACTCATCTTCATCCATCTGGGAAGGCAGTGCCCAGCAGTCTGCCACTGAACTGTTCTTCCTTGTCAACCACCTGTATTGCAGTCCAGGGGGTTTTGTTAAGCCGGACCCCTATTTCCCTGCTGCTCACACTAGTGTCAGGTCTCAGGCTCATGGCTGTCCTACTGCCTTTCACCCAGGTATTCCTCAGGCCCGTGAGACCCTGTTCTAACAGGCTTTCTCAGTTTGCGTAGGCTTAGGCATCCAGAAGCTCTCAGGGGCACCCCACCCAGTCCTCCTACGCCCCTCTGGCCATGTACCACCATAACCCCCCACAACTGCACTGCCCCCAGCACATTCTGCAAGCTCAGACCCAGCATTTTCTCTTCTCCCAGGAAAGCCTCTTCTTCACCCACCGCATGTGGGACACCATTGGATGCAACCACCTTATGTACTCAAAACATGGGTGCCTAGCCTCATTGAGAGGTTCTGGAGGTGTGGGCAGCTTTTCCACTAGAGGGCAATGGCCACTGGGCTTGCTCTGGTTAAAGGCCAATGGCCAGGCATTTGCCAACTATAAAATGCCTTATAAAACTGGCAGAAAAAGACTCCTGTGGGCTTTTTGGCTCCCTGTGCTGCCACAAGGTGACAGAAAGGCACAGTGTCTCCCAGGGAACATGGAAGTGCATCTGCGTGTGTATGTGTGTGTGTGTGTGTGCACGTACGTGCGTGTGTGTGTGTGTTATGTGAGATCCTCCAGGGAACTTGGGAGTGCATCTGTGTGTGTGCGTGTGTGCATGTGTGTGTGTGTGTGTGTTTATGTGAGATCCTCCAGTGAACATGGAAGTGTGTGTGTGTGTGTGTGCATGTGTGTGTTTGTGTGTATGTGAGATCCTCCAGGGAATGTGGAATTGCATCTACGGTGGGCAGGAGGGACATGTGTGATTATGTGAGATTTGGGGATTATGTTTTTTTAATAAATAAATATTTATCTTTATATATACAGAGGAATACATGTTCATACATGTAATTATATGTAGTATCTCTAGTTATATATACATAAGTTGCCTCTCACCTACATGAAGAAACACCACCTCAGAATAAAAGACAGCATCACATACTTTATGTGTAAATATCTCTATTTTAATTCTTATTTACTTATATGTTTACCATATATTTACATGTGGTATATATTTCTTTATATATTTTAAAATATACACATTAACATGTGTGTGTATCGGTTTATTTCTAGTTATATTTTGGCTGGCGCCCTCTATGTGTAAAACACTCTGATTGACAGACTGAGCCTCACTGTTTCTCCAGATCAGTGATTTTAAAACCCTGGGACCCCACCCAGTGTTGATCTTCTGGTCCAGCAGGAAGATGCAGCTGCACACTGGACTTCGAGCACCAGGACCATTTCCTCCCTTCGTGGTTGGGAGAAGTCAGTCTCCCACCAAAGGAGAGGTCAGAGAGTGTTGCCTGGCTGTTTTAGGGAAAAGAGAGATTTCAAAAGACTGCAGGACCCAGTACAATTCATTAGTATTTCATTCCAGTCCTATCTAGCCGCTACCTACCTGAGCTTCTAAGAAGAGATGAGGATACTATGGGCTAGCACAGTGAAGTAAATACAAATATTTCACCCCACTTTTAAAGGAACCTCTACCATCTACCCTCTCTGAGGGCTGTTGGCTGTAAAGTATCATCTATATAACAAGACCTCATTTGCAAGCCGGGCCTTCTCTTCTCTCTTATAGCCTGCCTTGCCACTATAACCTGATCTTGCCATCACTTGTTTCTGGCCATGCTGTGAGCCCCCATTGTTTCCGTGGCCTCTAGGTGGTAGCTGTGCTAAGCACTATTGGAGGTTGGGGTCAGCACTTTATGGTTCTCCCTTGCGCACATCAATAGCCCTGCATGCCATTTCTCCTCTTAATCTGCACTTGGCCAGTCGATTTTTCAGTGAAACTTTAGAGCGCAAAGGGGAAGTGCTCCCTTGTGCTCTATCATTTTGTGGCTGTGAGCAGAATACCGAAGCCTGCTCTTCCGGAAGCTGCAGCCAAGAGAACCCAGGACCGGAGCAGCTGGCAGAAGAGTAAGAAATTCTTACCAGCCAGGCTGCCGGCCTCTGTGTGGAATCTGTTTGAGCAGGTGGTGAAAACTGTTGTCTTTTCTTTCTCCATAAAATCCTGATTAGTGGAAGAAAAAGATTTGTGTGACTAGTCGTGCATGTAGCGACTCTTGTGTAGTCTTTGGCATGAATAATCATGTTGTTTGATCCCTTTTCCTCCTAGAAATAGTCTCTCACTCTCTGTTTGTCTCTCTGGGTTGTACTGTCATAAAGAAGGGCACCTCAGAATAGAACAGGGGTCCAGAACCCCTAGAAACACGATTTCGAGCCACCTCTGAAGACTGGTCAGATTTACGGCTCTGATCAGACTGGTGTCTATTCAGGCAAACTTTACTATTTGTTCCCCAAATAAAACCACATGAAGTTTCCCTCCGATCTTGTTTCATGTCCTTGAGAGCTTGGCTTTTAACCAAGTGGGAGCACAGTTGGTCTCCACCATCTGAGAAGTGTGATGTTTGGGTCCCATCCAGTGGCCAGTCTAAAATTGGCTGGGGACCTCAGACACATCAGTTTTTAGGCAGCACACTTTTTGTTTCAAATGTGTCAAGCTCTCAGGAGAGTTTGTCTTAAGAAGTCCTATCCCTATGGGGCTTCTGTCATATGAACGCTTGTTGCCCGGTTAGTCCTGGGAAAGTACACTTTCAGGAGGGCCTCCCTGGTATCACAGATTAAGGCATCCGTGATTGGCAGTCCCCCAGTAATTTGTGGGTTACTGGAGGTACTATGTGCACAAACACCATTCTTAACCATCTGTGGCAACAAGAGCTCTTGCCATCTTAAGCCTATTTCTGAGAGTAAATTTTTTGAGGATCATTAGCCTCATCTATGCTGTCTCCAGGAATACCTTTTGCTTATATGGTAAAAGTTATTTTAAACCTGTGTAATTGCCTTCTGGGCTTTTCATGAACAGGCTTGCTGGACAGAGTCACTATTGAAATAAGTTCACCATTGGAAATTCTAATCATTACTGGTTAGAAAACTGATCCTTCATGTCAGAAAGACTCCTAAATTTAGAAAAAGAGATCTCTTATTCTAAACAGTTGCCTCATTTGTATTTATGGAAAGATTAATTTAAAGTAAAGACTCATGGTGGTTTCATGGCTAGCCTTAGAAATTCTTTTGACTAAATTAAAGAATGAAAATCTGGCCCAAAGCAAAGTTTAAAGTTTTCGTATGCTCAAAGTGCCTGCTGTGAATCTCCTGCAGAATTTGCAGTGCTGGCCACTGCACCTTGCAGCCTGGTTAAAATTCCATCCTTTCACTGCCGTAGCCTGGGTTTGAGTCTTGGTGGGGAATTAGTCACTTTGGTTGGATATTTGTGTGATTTTTATCTTTTGGGGGACCATTTGTTATCCATCCTTTTCCCTCCAATGGACATATATTTTTTTTACTTTTATTTCAGGTTCAGTGTGTACATGTGCTGTTTTGCTACATGGGTGAATTGTATGTCACTGAGGTTTGGTGTACAAATGATTTCATCACCCAGGTAGTGAGCATAGAATCTAAGAGGTAGGCTTTTTAACCCTCACCATTCTCCTCCCCTCCCTTTTCAAGTGGGTCCCAGTGTCTATTTTTTCCATCTTTTTATTTCTCGTCTTTTTCTGTCTGTGGGGGCACACAGAGATTTAGGGCCTTTGTGTGTAGATGGTCAGCTGAGAAGTTGACGCCCTAGAGATGTGAGTTGTATCCTATTTGCAGGTAGCAAAACTTTCCTTTCCTTGGGCTGTCTTTGGGGTGGTTCTGGATCTTGCGAGGACTGGTCTGCACCTCTTTGGAGATTCCATGTGCAACCTCAAATAAGCCATAACCTTAGTTAAGGCCTACTGAATTTGGTGAGTCACTTGAAGGAGTACCATTGGTTTAAAAAGGTTCAAAGCCAGCTGGGCGCAGTGGCTCATGCCTGTAATCCCAACACTTTGGGAAGCTAAGGCGGGTGGATCATGAAGTCAGGAGTTCACGACCAGCCTGGCCAAGATGGTGAAATCCCATCTCTAGTAAAAATACAAAAAATTAGCTGTGTGCAGTGGCAGGCACTTGTAATCGCAGCTACCTGGGAGGCTGAGGCAGGAGAATTGCTTGAACTTGGAGGGACAGGTTGCAGTGAGCCGAAATCAAGCCACTGCACTCCAGCCTGGGCGACAGAGTGAGACTCTGTCTAAAAAAAAAAAAAAAAGTTCAAAGCCAGGAATATTAGCTGCTTGCCCTGGCTAAAAAGACACGCAGTAACAAATGCTGGCGAGGATGTGGAGGACAGGGAACCCTTTGGACACTGGTGGTGGGAATGTAGTTTAGTGCAACCACTATGGAGAACAGTTTGGAGGTTCCTCAAAAAACAAAAAATTGAGCTACCGTATGAATCAGCAATCCCACTGTTGGGTATACATCCAAAAGAAAGGAAACCAGTATATCAAAAAGATACCTGCACTCCTAAGTTTGTTGTAGGACTGTTTACAATAGCTAAGATTTAAAAACAACCTAAGTGTCCATCAGCAGATGAATGGATTAAAAAATGTGGTACTTATGCAAAACAGAGTACTATTCAGCCTTAAAAAGAATGAGATCCTGTCATTTGCAGCATCATAGGTGGACCTGGAAATAATTAAGTGAAATAAGTCAGGCACAGAAAGACAAACATCACATGTTCTCACTTAATTGTGGGATCTAAAAATCAAAACAACTGAACTCATGAACAGAGAGCATAGAAGGATGGTTACCAGAGACCGGGAACGGCAGTGGAGAGCTTGGGATGTGGGCATGGTTAGTGGGTAAAAAAAAAAGTTCAGAAAAATAAATAAGACTTACTATTTGATAGCACATCAGGGTGACTATAGTCAATAATAACTTTGTTGTACATTTTTAAAAGACTTCAAAAGTGTGACTAAATTGTTTGTAACACAAAGGATAAATGCTTGAGGGAATGGATACCCCATTCTCCATGATGTGCTTATTTCACATTTCACATCATCAAAACATCTCATGAATCTTACGAATATAGACACCTACTGTGCACCCACAAAAGTTAAAAACGAAAAATAATAAAAGAAAAATAGTCTAATCATAATTTGCAGATACCAGTTGTTTTCTGTCACCACTAAATCAGTCTCCATTAAATACAAAATATACACAAAGTACGTATAAAGCTTATATATATTTGCTATTTCTGAATAAAATAAAATCAATCAGCTACATCTTATACATTATTACAGGGATGGAGGTATTTTAGAACTACCTCTACTAATCCTAGAAATGTGTCAACTCCTGTAGAAAAGATAGAACAGCTATCAGATTAATTTTCAAATTATACTAGAGAACCTTCAGAAAACAAATTCTGTGGCATCATACATCAAAATCCAACAATGACATCAGTGAGAATTACATACAATTCATTTAGGAACAGTTATGAATTGGTTTATGATCTTGGACATCCGTTATTTCCACACAGGTTAACTCACGACTCTGTAATTATTTCCTCTTTCCTGAATGGATTTGTCCCTGGTCAGTTCGTGACCCAGAATTTTTTTTCCAGAAAAGAGCACGTATTCTGTCTATTGATCCACAGACAATAGACTCTGCCCACAGACTGAAATATAAACTACTTGCTTGATTTCCTTCTGCTGCTGGGACAATGGGCTCAGGTTTATGTTCACAACAGCCGATGAGTGCATAGAGGTCTGAGATATGGGCTTGTGATCCTGTGACTTTACTTCCCCAGAGAACTACAATTGTCATCTCACTTGTAGACACAAGGACAGTACATATTTGATGACTTAAAATTATTTTGGAAAAACTTTGTCTTCGTTTCCAATTACCAAAAAAAATGACAACTTTCTACCAAGCATCTTCAAAGACATGAAAATGGGAGAGGCTCTGTTTTTCCATGATCCCTGGAGGCAGATAGGGGCTCACATGGAGAGAACAGGACATGCCGAGTCTGAGACATGAGATACTGACAGCAAAGCACATGTCTCTTACCGGATTCCGTGCTTCCCTGAGATCTGCCTCTGCTGAAAATCTGACTGCAGTTAACCCCCAAATTCCTGAGCCAAACTATTAGTGAATTGTAAATAGATGGGACCACACAAAGAGCTTGAGAAGGAGGTGTCAACAGGTTACAGTGCAGAGAAGAACTTAAAGACAAATATTAAAATGAAAAATAGGGACAAAATTGTGTGATTCGATGCAAATTAACATTAAAATGTGGCTCATATATAGTCTAGGAATATGTATTTTTAGATACTTACGGAGATAGAGATGCTAAATTAAATAATATTCATAGAAAAAACAACATTTATTAAAGATTTGTTTTCCGCACAAGAGAGCACCAAATTTATATTGTCCAGAAGAAAATTTTACTCATGAACTAATTAATATACCAATACTCTTAAACTATTTAAAAGTTATAAAGTAACCAATCTTCCCAATCGTTTCCAGGAAGGATATAAAAGTGATATGGGCAGAGCTCAGCTGCGCGCCATGGCCGTGTTGCTGGCGGGGCTGGGCCCGGCAGGCAGGGTGGGCGCCTGGGTCCGGCCTTGCGCCACATGGCTCCTGGGCGCGACCACCCCCTGTGCCCCGCTGCCCCTGGCCCTGGCCCTGCTCCTGCCCAGGCCAGATGCCCGGCTGCTCCGCACAGCCGTGGGGACTGCCGCGGCAGCCAGGACCTCAGCCAGGCCACGGAGAGAACAGGCAGCAGCGTCAGCTGCACAGAGGAGAAAAAGCAAAGCAAGTCACAGCAACTGAAAAAGATTTTTCAAGAATATGACACTGTTGGCGTGTCGTTGTACACTGGAATCTCATTCATTTCCTTGGTCATATTTTACATGGTTGTGTCAAGTGGTGTGGACATGTCTGCAGTCCTGCTGAAACTCGGATTTAAAGAGTCCCTCGTACAGTCAAAAATGGCAGCAGGCACAAGTACCTTTGTGGTGGCCTATGCAATCCACAAGCTGTTTGCGCCAGTGAGAATCAGCATTACGTTAGTCTCTGTGCCCTTGATCGTCAGATAGTTTCGAAAAGTGGGATTTTTTAAAACCTCCAGCTGCAAAACCTTAATGAACTCTTCAGTCGTAGGCACTGAAAACCTATTTCTTCTAAATTACACAATTTGGATTGGTTTTAGGGTTGTAGGGTTTCTTTTGGAGGGGTAAGGGGCTAATTGCTATGTTCTCATGGATAAACTTTGCCAGCAAAAATCAGGCTTTTGAACAATTTTAATTTTTTTGCTTCACAAATTTTGTGAATGCTATTCATTATAGGACTTGTATATATAATCTAAAATGTCAGCAAGACATCACAGATGGGTTTACATCTCAAAACAAAATAGCCTACAGATGTTCCTTCTGGGAGATTTTTGGCAAGGGTCTGTCTGTAAAAGCTCCAGGGGATTAATCGTGACTCAGGTTCCTAAAAAACAATGATTAATTTAACTGGCTTTTAAATATCCCCTTCCGCTGATATTTGTTGTCAGCTGCCTACAGTTTAATATGCAGTGTTCTGCAAAACAGCTGCCAGTGCTACAATCAATGAAGCAAAACTTAATATGTATTCACAATCTAAATTAGTATCAATACTTTGACATTCATTACATTTGTTTTGGGGGAAGAAAAGTATTTCTGGTATGTTTCATTGGTCCCCAAACACCTTCCAATCTGGACATGATGGGGCTGATTCCAGATGGCTTTTCTGAAATTTTATTAAAGTAGGTCAGTGTCATTTGTTTAGATAAAATATGAAAACTCTGCCCAGTAGCAGTGGCATCACTTGATTCCTGATGCCCATGTTCCAGATACCACATATAAACAGTTAAGACAATCTTAGCTTTTCTTAGACAATCTTTATCTCAAACTTCAGACATTCCAGAATTGTCATGATGTTTACACTATCTCATTATTTTGAGTTAAAAATCCTGTTCAAGAAAAAAATTGTGTATCACTTCCTAAAAAGGAAAATTCATAGCACTTGTCACAAGTGGAAGGCAACTATACAAGCCAGGGAGGGGCTTGTATTACACAGGAAGGTGTAATTAGTCTGCCTAGCCAGTTTTATCCAATGAAAGGCATGTGTGTTAGAGAGATTAGCTAAGGGTAGAAATTCAAGCATAGAGGCCGGGTGCGGTGGCTTATGTCTGTAATCCCAGCACTTTGGGAAGTTGAGGCAGGTGGATTACTTGAGCTCAGGAGTTTGAGACCAGCCTGGCCAACATGATGAAGCCCTGTCTCTACTATAAGTACAAAAATTAGTCGGGCATGGTGGCACACACCTGTAGTCCCAGCTACTGGGGAGGCTGAGGTAGGAGAATTGCTTGAACCCAGGAGGTGGAGGTTGCAGTGAGCCAAGATTGCACCACTGCACTCCAGCCTGGGTGACAGAGGGAAACTCCATCTCCAGAAAAAAAAAAAGAAGAAAGAAAGAAAGAAATGAACAAGAAAGAGAGAAAGAAAGAAAGAAAGAAAGAAAGAAAGAGAGAGAAAGAAAGAAAGAAGGAAAGATAGAAAGAAAGAAACAAAGAAAGAAAGAAAGAAAGAAAGAAAAGAAAGAAAGAAAGAAAGAAAGAAAGAAAGAAAGAAAGAAAAGAAAGAAAGAAAGAAAGAAAGAAAGGAAAGAAAGAAAGGAAAGAAAAGACAAGTAAATCCGAGTGTAGATCCAAACTGAGACACTGAGACTTCTTCCTTATAGTAGTCAGGAGCAGGCGATTGAAGTAATTCTGTCCTGTGGGGTTCAGCATCATGCAAGTTCCCCCTGGGCCGTTCTGCATCTGCAAGTGCAAATGCAGGGCACTTGCTCCACACTCTGGGAACCCAGATTAATCAGTCTGCCGTGTCACACAGTTGAAGGAGTTGCATTTATCTTTCTGGCTCCCAATTCCTTTAAAATTACATTTGTTGCAGAACCTCCACAAGGCTAAATAAAATAAAATTACATTTGTGGTCATCAGAGAACTGAAGGAACTATTAACTGGCTGTCCTGTGTTTGCTGAGATCTGGCTGTTGACAGTTCCTGGTTGGCCCCCAGTTACCCATGTCAGTTATCTCTGTTAACATTTCCAAGAATCTTTGTAGGACAATTCTCCACTTGCAAGGTCTTTAAAGTAGAACTCTGGTTTTTTTTTTTTTTCAAGGCAATTGGCCCATTGCCAAAAGGTTTTACTGTCTTAAAGCCAGAACTGTCTTTCTGAGATCTAATTCCAAGGACTCCTCCACAGCTAAGTGAGATGCCTCACACCAGTATTAGGTGATTCTTTGTGTGGATGGAACAGAGCATTTTCATCTTGTGTTTAAAGCAATTTGTTGGCTTCGGCTCCTCAGCACTTTCTACACCAGTCTCCCATTCACATCCCTAGTAATGCCTATGCGAAAAGAAAAAAAAGAAAAAGAAAAAAGAAAGAAAGAGAGAGAGAGAAAGAGAGAGAGAAAGAAAGAAAGAGAAAGAAAGAGGAAATGAAGGAAGGAAGGAAGGAAGGAAGGAAGGAAGGAAGGAAGGAAGGAAGGAAAGAAAGAGAAAGAAAGAAAGAAAGAAAGAAAGAAAGAAAGAAAGAAAGAAAGAAAGAAAGAAAGAAAGAAAGAAAAAGCTGATGGTGAAACCTACAGGTTTAAGGACTTAAACCTCAAGCTTTGTGTTAGGAGTAACGGGAGTGTGCTGAGAGGGCAAACGAGTCATACCAAAAAGCCACATTGCTCTCTCCTAAGCACCAAACCTACTCCACTCCTGAGGCCAGTGGTTCAAACAGAAAATAACTGGAGAAGACGAGGAGGTCAAAGGATCAGGGAACTAAGCATTATGTGAATTCACCAGAAAGATGTACAAAGCGCTTGTGTTTACATTGTTTTTATGGTACTAGCAGAATAAAACTGAACTATTTTAAAAATGAAAAAAACTGATATGATAACTTTACTTGTTTGATGCCGCATGGAGTATTATACATAATTAGAGCATATTAATATGAAAGTAAAATTTTTGAATGTTAAAAACCATTGTGCCAACCCTTTAAAATATTAGATCATTAGGAAGTCCATTTATTCCAGAAATGCAGGTGAGACTCATCGCGTTAGGAAATTCATTAACACAACAAATTATGTTAATTGAATTAATGAGAATGTCTTGTGTTCATAGATGGAAAAGAGATAATGCCAACATTTTAAAGAAAATTATTTAAAATAATTTAATTAGTATGGAATTGGTGCGAAATGTTTCTTAAAAACCTAAAAATAGATTTGTATAAATGAAAAATTATGACATTACATGATTAGGCAGGGTCAACATTATTAAGACATCAAAAGTACTTTAATTAATAAGTTGATTTTATGGCTGTATGGTATTCCATGGTGTATATGTACCTTTGCAAGGGCATGGACGGAGGTGGAGACCATTATCTTGCAAAGGAATTCAGGAACAGAAAACCAAATACAGCATGTTCTCACTTGTAAGTGGGAGCTAAATGATGAGAACACATGGACACATAGAGGGAAACAACACACACTGGGGCCTATCGGAGGGTGGAAGGTGGAAGGAGAGAGAGGATCGGGAAAAAAAACTAATGGACACCAGGCTTAACACCTGGGTGATGAAATAATCTGTACAACAACCCCGCCCTGCTGACAGACATTTCCCTATGTAACAAACCTGTACATCCTGCACATGTGCCCCTGAGATTAAAATAAAAGTCAAAAAATAAAAAAAATAAAATAAGTTGATTTTAACTCCAATATAGATAACATCTGTGTTCTGGATATAGAAATTTTATTGTAAAGAAGAGCAAACAAATTAAAATATCCATGAAAAGTCTGAGAATTAAAAGAGAGTGACTTCCCCTTTAAAATATTGTAGAGACTTGGAAATTAAAATTGTGTTGTGTTGTTTCATCATTAGTCTGAAAGACCAATGGAATACAACATTCAAAAATGGAATAAAACATATGTAAAAAAGTACTGTGCAATAAAAGCAGGAGTGTAGAAAGAAGAGGCGAAAGCTTGCTGCGTCTCATTGGGCACTGAAGCTCACAGACAGGCAGCAGGCTTTGTCTCTCACCACGTGTGCTTTCTGCAAGTCTGGTATTGCCACATGTGCAGGAAGGACAGTTACCATTTGAGCAAGAGCATTTTGGGGCTAATATGTGATTAATGTGACTTTTTCTGCCTCAATATTCATTGTAACCTGTTCTCATAGCCCACAGTATGTTTCCTGCTGAGCTGAGATGTTACTGCCATTAATAAAGCTGTATTGCCTGCAACTGTCCCCCTTTCTATGTTTGGGAGCTTTGAGAACAGTCACACATGATTGTGTAATTCTTTAGTTCGTCACTTGCCTGGTGAAAGACTTTCTGGGGGGCTCCTCTCCCTACTGGGCCCACAGGGGTAAAAAGCTAGTGAAGAGTTCTGGGACAGAACACTGCATGGGAACAGTGAGATGGGACACTTCAAGGTACAATGCTCTTAACTTATACCCAAACTGATGCAGACAGAAAGTTCCGCATGCCATCAGAAAATGAGAAAAAAAAAACACGTTTGGAAGGTGAAATCATCTTTGGTTGTGAAAAACACTATCTTCTTCAGAGGATGTGCTAAAATCAAAACTAACAGATGATCTATGTCTGGAATAAAAGTGGTCATTTGTTAACAGATGCTGGCGAGGCTGCAAAGGAAACTCCTATTCACTGTCTCTGGGAATGTAAATTAGGTCAGCCACTGTGGAAAGCAGTTTGGGGATTTCTCAAAAGATGTAAAACACAGCTACTAATTGACCCAGCAATCTCATTACTGGGAATATCCCCAAAAGAAAATACAACATTCTACCAAAAAGACACACGCAAACCTGCACACGCAGCACCTCTATCTAATACAAAAGTTGGCATTATTTTAAAAAGTTTTTATTTGTGAAAACTTTTCACCCATGGTAGGGATGAAAAAGTACATTCTCACTAAAGTCAAGAGGCACACACCCAAAGCAGCCCCGGGGGCAGGGCTGGGAAAGCCAGCAGCACCAGCATCCTCAGCACATGCCAGCAGGTGTTGGCTGAAGCAACAGGTGTCCTGGGGAAATGGAAAGGAGTTACTTAGACACAGTTGCTGATTCTCGAATTTCCTATTTTTCCCAGGATGTCTTTATCATTTTCTTACCCTCCTGTCTATGTTTAGACACATGGCCCTCAGAGGTGACTTGTTGGCTGCAGAACGAGGAATTCATCACTGTCCTTTGGTCAAGGTAGAGGGAGTTATGTAATTTCATAAACTGTCCATATGTGATGATGGAAATAAAAAAAGAACTGAAGAGATGGAGAAGATACATCATATTCATGAATAGAATAACTCAGTATCATCAGGATGTCATTTCTTACCAATGTACAGATTCAATGCACTTCTAATCAAAATGGAAGCAAATTATTTTATGGATATAGAAAAAGTAATTCTAAAGCTTATATGGGGAAGAAAAAGACCTTGAATAGCTAACACAATATTGAAGGAGAACAAAGCTGGAGGACAGACAGGCACTACTCAACTTCAAGACTTACTGTAAGGCTACGGTAATCAAGGCAGTATCATATTGATGAAAGAATAGACAGGTTAATGAAACAAGACAGAGAGTTTAGAAATAGCGACACATCGATATATTTAATTAATCTTTGATGAAAAAGTAAAGGCAACATGATGAAACAAAGGTTGGTTTCTTCAGAAAGTGGTGCTGGAACAACTGAATACCCACATGTAAAAAAAATGAATCAGATCTTACCTTCTCACAAAAATTAAGTCAAAATGAATCACGGACCTAAATGTCAAATACAAAACTATAAAACTTCTGGAAAATAACAGGAGAAAATCTAGACTCTCTTGGGTTTGATGATCTCTAGAAAAAAATGCCAAAGTTACAGTACATAAAAGAAATAAGTTCCTGATGGAATATAGATTAAAAATTTTTAATATACAAAATGAAAAAAAATCAGAAGAAAATATAAATGCCTATTTACACAGATACATTTTTATGTTGACAAAACCTTTCTAAGACTCTCAGAAATAAGCATTGTGAAGGTTAATTTAGCAAAACAAAAATTACCCTGCATTTGAGAAAAAATAAAAGGCAGCATACTTGTAAAATATTTACTACACATGTATGTGCATGTGTGTATATATAGCAGATTTAAAAATCTTCATTTTACAGAGAATTCACTCAAATCAACAAAAAAATCCTCTATTTAAAATTGGGCAATTTAAATTAGAGATGTAAATTGCAGATCTAAGAAAAGTACTTTGCCTCTAATTTAAAATTGGGCAAACTCCTTCTTCTAGATCTGCAAGTGACTTATGCACACAGGAAACAATATTTAGTGTTCCTCGTTAGAGAAGGCATTTAAGTTAAAACAGGAATCAAATACTGTTTTCTATCCACAAAGTTTATGAGGATAAAGAGCAGTGATATTTATACTGCTGCTTAAAGTTTAAGTTGCAGATGACTTTTCAAATAGACAATTTGGTGGTAAGTACCATATTTAAAAAATTGTATATGCCTGTTGGTGATCAATTCTATTACATTAAGATATTTTTAGAAAATAAGGAAACATACACACAATTTCTTTTTTGAGCGCTGCTTAAAATATCAGTGTATTAAGAAGAATCCATACAATGGCTTTTATAAATACATTTCAGTGAATTTACAGCGTGGGATAAAATGTGACCACTGAATGTAGAAACATATACAGAAGTATGTTGACATTTGAAAATGTATTTTGGTGTACCAAGTAAGGGTAAAGTTCAGTTTGTTTATACATACAGATGATGGTCTTGTGTTATCTGAAATTATGTACGAAATATGATAAAATTTGTTATTTGAGGGCATTTGTTTTAATATAAAATGTTTTTCCTTTTTATTATCTTTGATTTCTGCATTGAACAAGTACAATGTTATTAGTAAAAGTTTATTATTAATGAAATAATTTTGGGGAAGAGCAGGAATATGAATTTTGCACAGATTAAAATAATTTTTCACTTTCTATATTTTAATTTTTATTTTTTGTGGATTAGTATATTCTGTGAACTTTTAGCATTTTCAGAAGAGAAACTTTTTATCTGTGCTTGTTGATTTACATGTACATTTTATTAGAAACATATTTTTATTATATCTAGATTTATTATATATATGTCAATAATTACAGATTAATCATTTTAGTGTAGTTTTGTTATTAGGAAAATAAAGTAGCAAATATAAGTGCTTTATTTATAGCAGTTTTTTAAGATATTGAACTTCCCAACTATATTTATCCATTCTTTGAATCCATTTATCACATGTAAGCTGAATGCCTATTATGTAGAAGACACATTCTATTAACTCTCAAGACCCTTTCATCCTTAAAAATTTCACATTTACCTGCTCAGCCTCAGCAACATGAGAGGCTTAAAATTGGAGTAATAGGACTGAATCTCAATTGAAGCTTTTCCTCTCATCTTTCAAACAAAAATACTTCTGAAGTGAGAAATTAGTAAAAGATAACTACCAACCACGATTTTGGAAATTTATAACAGCTTTAAATAGTAATATGAATAATTGGAAATACCTAATTTACATGTACTCCCTCCATAAATCTAAATATGAATTAATATACATTCTGTAAATCTAAATACAAAATAAAATGAGCCATACCTATTCATTTGAATCCCAAGTTTTCTTTGGCTTGAAGTTTTTAAAATATTAAAGGAGTACTTTGTTTTAACAATTTGTTGTTTTTATTTCAACTCTCCTTTTGCGTAGTACTCTTAAAAGCTAAAATTTCTTTAAGTGTAAATCCTGTGATTAGGACTACCATCGTCCTGTTGTATATACCATATTCCACTTCATGGAAGGCACCCTGAATTGTGTGATGCCTCCTTATTTTATGTACCAATAAAAGATTGTTTAAATTTTTGCCAAATATAGTTCTAATAAATAATGAATTGTAAGTGGCATTTCAATGTCAGAGATGCTAAAATATGAGAAATTGAGCATCTTAGAACCGTTAAAATACAGTGTTATCTGTAACCTTTAAAACACACCACAAAGTAGGCATGATTGTATTATTTTACTTAAAATGTTGTCTTTGTTAAGTAGAAGTTATAATTATAATATCTAACAATTACTGAGCTGTTACATGTGCTAAAAACTCTTCAAAATACTTTGCATAGATTCTCATCGAGGCATCACAGTGATGTCCTGTGAGATAACTGCTGTATTCATCTTCACTTTATTGATGAGAAAATTGAGGCACAGAGAGGTTAAGAGACAGCTAGTAAGTGAAAGACCGTAAAGTTTATTCAAGCCCAAGTTGAACTGAGTCCAAAGGCCAAGCTCTTTCTATTCAAATAGGCCACTCTTTCATTAATGTAGTGAGTAATAAGAGTGAATGAATGTTGTACTTTCTTAAGGAGAATATTAAATATTTGTTTTGAAGGCAGAGAAAGAGCATGGTATTTAATGTTTACAATTGTATAAATCATTGTATGTTTTGAGACAATGGACTAAACTTTCCTAAAAAGTCCTCTCACTCTCATAGGACTGCTCTACATGGGGCCTGTGTCAACAGCCATGTGGAAGTAATAACACTTCTGGCAGACAGAAAGTGCCGGCTTGATGTCCGTGACAGTGAAAACAGGACACCTCTGATGAAGGTAAATAGTAGCCAGTCCTTTCAGCAGGAGATGGATTTGGTTTAAATACGTGGAATAAAAATGAATTTATCTCATTGAAATACAACTAGTTTCTGAAACCTGTGAAATATTTATTTTGATTTCCTATAATTTATAATTCACTTCTTGCTTTAATACTGACAGGCTCTACAATGCTGGAGGGAGGCTTATGCAAATATTCTGGTAGATTCTGGTCCCAGTCCAAATATTGTAGATGTGTATGGCAACATGGCTCTCCATTATGCTGTTTATAGTGAGAATTTGTCAGTGGTGGCAAAACTGCTGTCACGTGGTGCAGACATCCAAGTGAAAAACAAGGTAGACCTTAACCAATGTTATTTTCAAAATATTTGAAATCTGTTTGTTTTAACATTAACATATGCAAGTTTTTTTATATTTGGAAGCTCAAACATTCCTCAAATGAAAATAGTTTGAAAGAACTTGTCTAAGATTTTACTTTAATATTAATATTTTTACAAGAACTATTAGAGAGTATGGCTTTTCTGTGCACTTATGATAAATATTTGAATTTGTTAAAGGTAAAACTTATTCAAACATTTTTTCCCACCCAAGTTTTTTTTTCTTTCCAATTAGTGTAAAACTACAAGAAAGCAAAATTTGCCTGCATAAATTAAGTCACCGTGTAAAATTTAGGAGACATGCAGAAATCTGGATTTCCTCTTAAAGGATAGAATCTGGTGTCTCTTGAGCCCATATGACTGGTATGCTCTGAAGAGGTTCTAGCTTTACACAAAGCATATGTTTCCAGTTTGCTGCTGTGCCCACCTAGGCACATCACTTACTCAACTTACCCCTTTTGCCTCTGTAAATACTTCAGTTATCAATTCCTCTCTCATAGTATATTATGGTAAAGATTTCAAGGTGTTCAAGACAGTTGATAGGTGTTTATAATATATAGTTTATATTTTACATTAAATCATTAATAATGGCATTAACGTCTAGAATTTAGATTTTTTAAACAATGATTTTTCCTTATATAAACCATAAATAATCATCTTCTATTAGAAGGCCTTTAAGCCTTTTTAGATTAATCATGGTTATATTTGAATAGGTTATGCCTATTGCAGAAAATATTATATCTTTCTCCTCAGAATTGTCCCTTAAAATTCAAGTGATTTTGTGGCTTCTATTATGCTAATCTATATAGATGAGTTAGAACTTTCATTAATAAGCCATTTTATTCATATTTCTGATATTTTCCCAAAAATTAAGTAGCAATTACAATACAAACCAGAATCAAAATGGATTATTGCATTTTAAGAATTAGATATGCATTAGGGTGCTAGTATTATCATTATAATTGAGAATAAACTTTTATACTGAATTTCTAATAGCTGAGATAAAATTCTATTGTCTTGTAATAGGAGAAACCCCATGGACCACTTATAATAAGCAATCAAAGTTCATTTAAAGCCAATCTCTTTTAATTTAGAGCCTACTTCTTTAGTGACCCATTTAGAGCAGGAGTGCCTGACACTGGCATCTGGGATCTTAGGATCATTGATAGAAGAGAATCAGCGAGTTTGTATCACCAGAGGAAACCTCCATTTTTCTTGGGAAGCTTTCAAAACCGTATCCCTGAAATTCTAATTTGTCAAATATTAATGTCTGCCACAAAAATATATTGTCAAATAAGGATTAGGCAAAGTTCAGGTCATTTCTTGGATAACGGACATTTAATTCACAGTTTTATAATATTTCTTGAACATAGATAATGTGGAATCTGTTGGGGTACAATGCTTCTGGTAAGGTAATTATTCTCTGGAATATAGTTTAAGAAACACTGCTCTACAGGTAATAATTTAGATTAGTAATTTAATAAAAAACAAAGTATTTACTACTGTATCTTGGGGTTTAAGGATATAGAGATAAAAGACACAGCCCCTCTCCTCAAGAAGCTCTTGCTTTAGATGGGAAACAATAAAACCATTAGAATATAAAGATTCTTGGGGATAACCAGAGTTAATGTGGTGATGCAGAGGCTGAATGTTTCCAAGGGAAGGTGCAGTGCATGGGAAAGCACAGAAAAGGGAGAAAGAAGGGGCTGCTATTGATTTACTTTCTATTTTAAGTTTAAGTTCATAGGATATTATACAAGGTATTCAGTTCAGCTGAGAAATATGTAATTTCATGAATTATAAATTGTCTTTGCTGTTTTACAGGCTTGCCTCACACCACTTTTACTGGTCATAACGAAAAGAAGCGAGGAAATTGTGGAATTTTTAGTGACAAAAAATGCCAGTGCAAATGCAGTTGATAAGTTTAAATGGTATAGTAGTTCTTTTTTTATTAAAAAACACTTGAGTAGTGTTCTAGAGTAATAACACTCAAGTCAGAAATATTAATAACCTTTACTTAAAATTATTAAATTATAGTGAAAACTATCAACACAAATTATCAGTTAGGAAGAAAAGCAATTATTTGGACTGGTCAACATAAAGAACAGTATATAGTAGGATTTATCTTCTCTTATTATACTGACTGATTCTTATTTTTAATCTGATGTTTTTGGTTGCATTATTTTCTATTGGCTAAATATTGAATGATTAACACATTTATAGTATTTTTCTAACTTCTGTTTTTTATACACTTTTTAAAAAATGCAATATTTGCTGGGCATGGTAGCTCTCGCCTGTTATCCCAGCATTTTGGGAGGCCAAGGTGGTTGGAACACTTGAGGCCAGGAGTTCAAGACCAGCCTAGCCAACATGGTGAAACCCCATCTCTACTAAAAATACAAAAATTAGCCGGGCATGGTTGTACATGCCTGTAGTTCCAGCTACTCAGGAGGCTGAGGCACGAAAATCACTTGAACCAGGGAGGCAGAGGTTGAAGTGAGCTAAGATTGTGCCACCGCACTCCAGCCTGGGTAACAGAGCAAGACTCTGTCTCAAAAAAAAAAAAAAAAAAAAGCAATATTAATCTGAAATAGGAGTTTAAAATCATTTTGTCTTTAGGATGACTGTTTGCTTTAAGTTGTTTTCTTTGAAGAATATTAATTTTACGTTTTCCCTACATGACTATTAATTGCTATCATCAGATATTGTGAATTTCTCATTTTTTTCCTTTTTTATTCGTAGTGTATTATTATTTCTAATTTGTATAGGTAGAGGGAAGAAAGACATCTTTAATTGGATTAACATTTTAGTTAATTAAGATAATCCAGCCGGGCGCGGTGGCTCACGCCAGTAATCCCAGCACTTTGGGAAGCCGACGCAGGTGGATCGCCTGAGGTAAGGTGTTCAAGACCAACCTGGGTAACACGGTGAAACCCTGTTCCTATTAAAAATACAAAAAATTAGCCAGGTGTGATGGCGGGTGGCTGTCATCCCAGCTACTTGGGAGGCTGAGGCAGGAGAATCACTTGAACCCGGGAGGCGGAGGTTGCAGTGAGCTGAGATTGTGCCATTGCACTCCAGCTTGTACAATAAGAGCAAAAATCCGTCTCAAAAAAAAAAAAAAAAAAAAAAGACAAGCCATAGGTGAGTGATAAAAACAGATAGGCTTTTGACTCACATAAGAATGGATTCATGTCTAGCTTCCTCACTTGATATGTTTGATTTTGCAAACATTACTTAATACCAAGTATGATTTTCTATATGAAAAGGGGAATAATAATATGTCCTTTAAGGACAGTTGTGTGGGAATAACATTATGAATATCAACAGCATTTAATTCAATGTCTCACACGTTCTTATCAGCATCATTAACTGAACTTACTATGACTAATACTAATATCATTACTCCTAATATTGTTTTAAGCCTTCAGAGTGCTCTCATTTGTCTGACTTCTAGCTGATTTTGAAGAACAAAATATTTTATCAGACTAAGGAAGAAATAAAGATTTCTTCACTTAAATTTTTGCCTCTTTAAGATTCGTGAACAGAGCATATTTTCTTGCCCCTCAAAGGACTTTATGTTAGCCACTTCTAGTATGCCATATCCCAGTGGGACATGAGTCTTTTTGCTCCTTCCTTTTAGCCTTGGTGGTGATTTACAAGGATAAACACTTGAGCACTCAATATACTTAGCTTTGTTAGTACATGTAAATGGTTAATTCTACACTGACACGCACATATTAAATTGGTTCTGTTCCTAATAATGAAGTTATCTCTTTGTTATTTTAGCACAGCCCTCATGCTTGCTGTATGTCATGGATCATTAGAGAGAGTCAGCATTCTTCTTCAGCAAGATATTGACATCTGTGCTGAAGATATGTGTGGAATGACTGCAGGAGGTTATGCTGTTGCTAGTAGATTTAATCCGTAAATGTTTACATTTAAAGGCTAGGTGAGATTTCATAGTTTGTTTCAGGTAATTTTTGAATGTCAGTGAGTTAGTTCACTTCATCAGCCAGAAACTAGGCAAAAAGCTAGACTAGTTGGAAGGAGTAATGGGCCAGGATTCTTTATTTTAGGACTTTCAACAGCTTTATCCCTAGGGATCCTAATGTTGTCTACTTGATTTGCAGTATATCCCCTATGCATGGGATAAACATAGTGTCACAATTTTGATTTTTCTAATTAGTTATTTGGGTCTTGAAATGTCCACTTTAGCAGAAAACCTGATAGTGTCCCTGGGGCTGTCTTCCATACCTTCATCCTTGAAATTTTAAAAGAATCTAAGGGGTTCCCTAAGTCCAAGGAAGACATTCCTTTTGTTTAAGTCAGAAAGACTGGAGGGGTGGGAAATGGCCATTCTCTTCATTTTGTTGTTTCCATTGATGCTGTTGCTGCATTGTTGCCGTTGAAACTACTCCTGCAGTCTGATAATGATTGACCTTTGCTACCAGGATGCTCTTACTAATACAGATCCCTCAGTCTTCATGGTGATCCACATGTAGACTTCAAAGTTATTTCATTTTTTTACAGTTCACATACATATTCTCAGCCATTGTTTCCGAAGTACCAGCACCCTGCTCTGGCAGCTAGGACATTTAGCTTTAGCCACACACATAGTAAACAAATTGACTCTTCTCCTCACACTCAAAACCTGATGTGAAACCCACATCTTAGCCTGGACTTGGCCTAGACCTTCATGGTAAGTTATCCTTTGAGTGGCTTCTTTCTATTTTCTCTAGCAAATATTAGTTTGAAACTGTAAGTCAGGTTGAAATAATGTTACAGGAAGAAATTAGAGATCCCTTTTTATTTTGTTACCACAACTACATCCCTGGACCTTTATAATCTGTGTAGCACCATTTTGTAGGTAGTGGAAGGTCTCATCTTATTCTGTAAGATCCCATGTCATCTTTCTCAAGTTATAGTGGGTTCCAACTCGTGCTCCTCCCCTCAAGTGATTCTTTTTTGCTAAAAGTAAAAATCTCCCATGCTACCTGCATCCCTACCTCGAGTTTTTAAAATATTTTCAAATTCTGCATCACCATGAAGCCATTCAATAGACTTCACAAAACCCCAAGTAAGTTGGTTAGATTTAACAGAGCTAAGCCTCATCCATGACTGATCAGTCTTCAGGTATAAAAGTAGGGATTCGTGCTGGCATCAGCTGTACATATAGTAAAATTGAAACAACTTCGAGAAGATCAGCATGGTCCCTGCACGAGGATGACACACAGATTTGTGAAGTGTTGCATATTTCTTGCAGTTTCCAAAAGGACATTTGACTACTTTCTAACTAGCTCCAAGGAAATGGTGTGAGTCAAAGCAAAATGGGTGTCACCCAGTATTGCAGTTGTGATTTTCATACAAGAAATATTGATGCAAGGTGATATATGAAATGAGATGTGGTAACACATAGGATCTTGTGTGCAATATGCTCTTAGTGCATCTCAGAAATGAGGAAATACCAACTTGCATCTTTGTGGAACTTACAAAAAATAAAGGTAGGGTTTTTTCTTCCACAGCAGCTGGAAATGAGCATAGTGACTAAGCATCATTCTAACAAAGATTTGTTGATTCAGAGTTTCAGGAGGTAGATAAAGAGTAGTAATAGTCCAAGCCAGATGCTGACATCTATTAGTTTTCTGCCCTTGGTGTGATTGATGAGCTCAGTAATAGAGGCTAATCAGGTTATCCAATTTAATGAATTAATATATTTATAAGTAAATTTCATTACAAATTATAAAATAGCTTAGATGCCTTGAATTACAAGCCACAAAGAATAGAACATCTAATAACCAAAAGTAGGAGTTAATAACAGAAAAGTGCAACATTTGAACATTATAACATATGAAGAAACACTTTTTTTTGTTCTTTTGTTTTTTGTAATTTATTTATGTTTTGCAGAGACAGGGTATCCCTATGTTGCCCAGGCTGGTCTTGAACTTCTGGGCTCAAGCAGTCCTCCTGTCTCAGCATCCCAAAGTGCTTATGTCACAGGCATGAGCCACTGCACCAGGCTAACACATTGGATTTTATTGAGAATTTAAAAATAGCTTCAGCAATAAGATTCAAGAACAAATTATTTCATTGCTTCACTATTTGAGCATTAAAAAATGTTATCTTGTTAAATCTTTATAATAACCTAGTGAAATAAGGCTCTAAAATTCTCATTTTTAGAAGACGTTGAGCCTAAGAGAAGCAACTTGTTCCAGAAAAAATACCTGTTGGTTACTGCGCTAGGACTTATTCTGAGTTAAGGACATTTTCCATTATGCCAAGCTAACTCTAGTGAATGTACGGAGTTACCCTGCCCTGAATTCATGAGTATTTCATCTACTTTCTTTCTTCTTTAATTAGCAGATTAATAAATTCATAGAGCTTACAAACTTAAAGTAATAGAATAAGTAATATTCTGATGTTAGCTCTGATATTGTCTGAAATACTCTAAGAACTTAATAAATTTGGTAAATGTTTTTATATCAGTGTTAAAATAATAGTTTTATTTATTACATTTTTATACATAGCATTCATCAACACCTTTTGGAATATAAACAAAAGATATCTAAAAATCCTCAAAATAGCAATCCAGGTAAGACTTCTGATAGTAAACTACTCTTGGTGGTGCTACCATAAGGTTATGGAAATGTTGATCATACAACAGCAATTAAAAAAGCAATGTGGAAATAGGATGTGTTTACATATATACATATGTGTGTGTGTACATATATATATAGCTTTGATTTAATTTTTTTAGTTTATTATTCAGAATTAGTTAAGAATTTAGTTGTACGTAGTTTATAATCTCAGAAATTATCCGAAAAAAATTTTCTTAATTATGTTCCCTAAAATTTTATATAATACTTTTGTATAAATAAGTAAAACAATTTTTAAGTTTGTATATTGTATGTTTCCTCAATTGTCATAACAACTTAGGTTTGTGATAAAATGTATAACACTTGGTGTGATTGATGAGCTTGGTAATAGGGGATAATCAGGTTATCCAATTTAATAAATTAATATTTATAAATAAATTTTATTACAAATTATAAAGTAGCTTAGATGCCCTGAATTACAAGCCACAAAGAATGGAACATCTAATAATGAAAAGTAGGAATTAATAACAAAAACTGCAACATTTCAGTATTATAACCTATGAAGAAATAATTATGTATGTATGTATGTATGTATGTATGTATGTATGTATTTATTTATTTAATTGTAGAGACAGGGTCTCCTTATGTTGCCTAGGCTGGTCTTGAACTTCTGGGCTCTATTTAATTTTTACAATAAATGGTTTACATTTAGTAAATGAGAATTAATTACAGTTGAGTCTTGAGTAACATGAGAGTTAGGGTGCCGATCCCCCAAGCAGCTGAAAATCTGCTTTATAGGAAAATCTGTTTCTTTTGACTCCTCCAAAACTCTACTAATAGTCTACTGTTGACCTGGAGCCTTACTGAAAGCATAAACAGTGAATTAACACATAGTTTCTATGTCATATGTACTATATACTGTATTCTTACAATAAAGTGAGCTGGAGAAAAGAAACTGTTTTAAGGAGGAAAAAATATATTCACTATTTATTAAATGGAAGTGAATTATTATTCATAAAGTTCTTCATTCTCATTGCCTTCATGTTGAGTAGGCTGATAAGGGAGAGGGAGAGGAGAGATTTGTCTTGCTATCTTGCAGCAGCAAAGGAAAAGATAAATCTGTCTATTAGTGGGTTCCTACAGTAAAACCCTTATTCAAGGATCAACTGTGTGACATAGTGACTTGTGTCACAGAAAAGTAAGTATCTTTAGAATTTGGAACTCAATAATACTTTTCTGACACCATAAACAAATGTCAACAAGAATTACAAAACTTAGCCAGGGTGCATCAGTACCAATAGGATATCATTTTTCAAAGATACCTACTGAGTGCAGAAGTGAGAAAAGCAAATCTTTGTTGAGAAGCGCAGGTTATGTTACACAGTCTTGTACCAAAAGATCTCACTATTTTCAACTTCATTCCCTCTAAGTTGAAACCAAATAAGATATATTTACTTCATTAGAACAAGATGTGTTGTTCTATCTGCTGGATAATTAGTGTGTTAATAGTAATTTTGTTACAAAAAGATACTCTGTTCCTGCTGGCCAAAATATTAACATTATAAGTATTCAAATAGCTTAACTCTAGGCTCAACAAATTATAATAAAAATACAAAAATTTTTCACAATAGCAAAAGTGTCACTGTGATACCTAAATGTGACACAATGCATTGTTCAATATGAACGGTATGAGCATATCTTTATTATATATTTATCAAAGAACTTCTATAAGTTAGGTTTTTGCAAGTTGCAGGAGACAAATATGGAATACACATATTCCATATGTCTTTAAGGTGCTCATAATACAGTAGAGCTGTCTCTACTGAATTTCTGCATTTTTCCAACAAAATTTTCTAAAAAAATGTTTTTTATTCATTTATCCACTTGTCCACTTAACAAATAAATGCCAAGCATCTTTAAGGTACTAAGCATTGTCCTTGTTATTATCATTGTCATTTTTTATTATTTACTACTTATTAAGGTACTAAGCATTTTTCTTGTTATTATTTTTTTCTAATATTTACTAATTTATTAATGTTCACTCTGTGCCAGAACCCCTTTGGGAGCTTATAATTATCACTTATTATGTCATTACCATATTCAGTATGTGTCAGACATTTTATATCCAAGGTGACAATTAAAGCCTTAACAAGTTTGGTAGTGTCCAGAAGTGGTGGCTCACTCCTGTAACCCTAGCATTTTGGAGGCCAAGGTGGACAGATTGCTTGAGCTCAGGAGTTTGGGACCAGCATGACTAACATGGTGAAACCCGTTTCTACTATATACGAAAAATTAGCCAGGCGTGTAGCGTGCGCCTGTGATGCCAGCTACTTGGGAGGCTGAGGTAGGAGAATCGCTTGAACCCGGGAGGCGGAGGTTGCAGTGAGCTGATATCGTGCCATTGCACTCTAGCGTGGGCGACAGAGCAAGACTCCATCTAAAAAAAATAAATAAATAAATAAATAAATAAATAGAAGAAGGAGAAAAGTTTGGTAGTATTTAAGGAAAGCATGCAGAATGAGTAGAAGTTTGCCAGATAAAGAGTCAGAAGGATGATATTTAGCAGAAGGAAAATTTAACCACGTTGTGTGTTTGGCAGAAGGAACATCTGAAGGAACGCCTGACGAGTCTGAACCCTTGGCGGAAAGAAGCCTGAGTAGGCTGAACACTTGGTGGAGGGAGCGCCTGATGAGGCTGCACGCTTGGCGAAAAGAACACCCAACGAGGCTACACCCTTCGTAGAGGGAACATCTGAGATTATCGCATATCCTAGAAAAGAAACATCTACAAAAGCAAATACAAATGGTAAGATGCGTGAGTGAATTTTGTAGGGTTTATTGGCACTTTGGGTTTCCAAGCGGAAATAGTGTGATATGGGAGTAGTTGGGAATGACTTGAATATGTAGATAAGGCAAGCTTAGGCAACACTTTTTAATAGTATAGGAACGAGTAGATCTTATTCTGTAGGCCCCGGAAAAATTCTTACAATAATTCTGGCTGTAAATACTAGATGAACAAACAATGGCTAAAAACATAGGAACCAAATTTGTTTTGGTGGTCCAGGGATATCATAGGATTCTGCTATTTTTTTTTTTTTTTTTTTTTTTTTGAGACAGAGTCTCTCACTGTCACCTGGGCTGGAGTGCAATGGTGCAATCTCAGCTCACTGCAACCTCTGTCTCCCGGGTTCACACAATTCTCCTGCTTCAGTCTCCCGAGGAGCTAGGATTACAGGCGCCCACCACCACCCTTGGCTAATATTTTATATTTTTACAGGGTTTCACTATGTTGGCCAGAGTCGAACTCCTGACCTTGTGATCCACCCACCTCGGCCTCCAAAAGTGCTGGGATTACAGGCGTGAGCCACTGTGCCTGGCCAGGATTCCACTTTTGGTGACTAATTAGCAACAGCTCCAATCATCATGCTCTCTCAAGACAATATTTGAAGGCTGGAAGGGCTGCTTTTGTTCACCTGTTTCTTTTAAATAGGGAGAAAACTTGTAAGCTTGCAGTAATCTTCCTGTAACATTTTATTGGCTGGATTATACCACATGCTCCTTTCAAAACCAGTCACTAGGAAACCAAATGTAATTACTGTGATTAGCTTAGAATAATTGGAGATGGGGTGGGGGTAATGGAATAATAAATATCTAAATAAACTTGTGTTTCTGCAGCAAGAAAGAATAAATAATGGCTATGCATAGGAAGTCAACAATGTTTTCTGCAGGGATTCATTGGAGAAGTTTGAGAAGGGGAGTCACAAGATTAGATTTGAGTATCAGGGCATTCTGGTCATGGTATAAAGCAGAGATTGGCAAACTTTTCCTGTAAAGCACCAGATAGGAAATATGGTAGGCCATGTGGTCTCTATCACAGCTATTCAACCCTGCATTGTAGGGTGAGAGCAGTCATAGATAACGTGTGAGCAAAGACCTGCATGATTGCACTGCAATAAAACTTTGTATAGAAAAATTTCATAAGCTGAATTTGGCCTGTGGCCTCCAGTTTGCTGGTCCGTCATATAGAAGATAGATGGAGAGTATCACATAAAAAGATTTAAAGACAGTCTTGGAGTGGTGGCTCACGCCTGAAATCCCAGCACTCTGGGGGCCGAGGCGGGCGGATCATGAGGTCAGGAGATCGAGAACATCCTGGCTAACACAGTGAAACCCCGTCTCTACTAAAAATACAAAAAAATTAGCTGGGCATGGTGGCGGGTATCTGTAGTCCCAGCTACTTGGGAGGCTGAGGCAGGAGAACGGCATGAACCCAGGAGGCAGAGTTTGCAGTGAGTCGAGATCGTGCCACTGCACTCCAGCCTGGGCCACAGAGTGAGGCTCTGTCTCAAAGAAAAAAAAAAAAGATTTAAAGACAAAGGAAGCTTTTGTAGTAGTTCATGCTATAGTCTTTTTTTTTTTTTTTTGTCACCAATCTGTGGCCTAGTATCAATCTATTATGAAAGTTTGACCCATCCAAGGTAAAATGAATCAAGTTCAGAAGTTCAATTTACACATTTAAACATGTAGGTCTTTCTTTGCCATTATTTTATTTTGATTTGTTTTACTGAATTTTTTAACTTAAAATATAACAATAGTATTTGGTAGGGTTTCCTTTTCCCTATAAAAGCCATCAGTTAAGGGGCCGTGTTTAACCAGGAAATAAAAATATAAAATAAATAAGTTTGTATTCCAGTGGCAATGGAAACATAAAGTAAAGGCAGAAAAGAGGTACAGTTAATATGGCTTAGTGATTATTGAATTTAAAAAGCTAGGGGACAGAGAAAATCTCAGGTCATTCATACGTTTCCAGATTGTGCATGAACATTTACAATGCTCATGGGGAAGGAGTAGGAAATTGTCAGGTCAGCAGCGAAGTGCAAACAGTCATGGGACAGACCAGCAGTTTTCTTTACATGTTGAGTTCAGTGAAACAATCATGTGGGATATTTTCAGTAGGTAATTGGATTATAGGCATTTCTAGCTGGAGATAGAAATCTGGTTGGAGATGCAGGCTTAGAATAATTTTATTATAATTATTAGGCAAAGTCATAGATCTCAATGAGCTTATCCATGATGCAGAAGATGTCTAATTTCTGGAAGAAAAACAATAAATTAAGATAAATCTATCCAGTATTTTAACTTTTCATTTTAATCAGTAACAGACCACCAGTAATTAATTTTATCCATGGAATAAGTGCAAGAACACAAGACTGAGAGTTGCTCTGGAAAGTTCTAAAGTCCACAATACCTTAAGTATATTCCACAATGTGAAAAGGAAGTAGAAAGAATGATACTTGCAGAGCTAGAAGTGAATCAGGGGAATCAGAAAGCTAGTTTTCCACCAATAAAAGAGAAACCATTTTCTGCACTGTTCATTTAAAATGGCAAAGTCATCCTTACAAATAAATATTTATAACACAATTTCAGATCAAGAAGAAGCACAAAAGTGAAACTGATTAAGAGCTTTTATATAATGTACTAAAAAAAAACACACACCTACAAAAAAAGAATAGCTTAACAAAACTCTGCAGGGCTTAAGGCTTGTATTTGTACTTCAATGGTGCATGTGAGTACCAGCATAAGATGCTTTCAAATACATTTAATCCAGATGGGAGATGGCTTTTTGAACCGTGGAATCCCTGCATTTGGGCACTAGAAAAGACCAAAAGGGTCATTTAGTTCAGAAGTTTCTAAACAGAGAAACAGTTCAGCAAAATGTTAATAGTAATGACTTAAACAAAACAACAAAACACTGCAGTCAACTATTTGGAAATTGGTGCATTAAATAAAATTAAGCCAATGTCTTCACCATAGCACTTCTCACAACTGGAATGACCTGGATCAGCCCTCTCACATTACAGATAAAAAAATTGAGGTTCACCTAGAAGAAAATATAGGCAATACCATTTAGGACATAGTCATGGGCAAAGACTTCATGAAAAAATTGCCAAAAGCAATTTCAACAAAAGCAAAAATTGACAAATGGGATCTAATTAAACAAAAGAGCTTCTGTGCAGCAAAAGAAGTCATCATTAGAGTGAAGAGACAACCTACAGAAGGAGAGAAAATTTTTGCAATCTTTCCATCTGACAAAGGTCTAATATCCAGAATCTATAAAGAACTTAAGAAATTTACAAGAAAAAAAACAAAACATCCCATTAAAAAGTGGGCAAAGGATATGAACCAACACTCCTCAAAAGAAGACACACATGCAGCCAACAAACATGAAAAAGAGCTCAACATCACTGATCATTAGAGAAATGCAAATCAAAACCACAAGGAGATACCATCTCATGCCAATCAGAATGCCTATTACTAAACAGTCAAAAAACAACAGATGCTGGCAAGGTTGTGGAGAAAAAGGAACACTTTTACACTGCTGGTGAAAGTGTCAATAGCTCAACCATTGTGGAAGGCAGTGTGGTGATTCCTTAAAGATCCAGAGGTAGAAATACCATTTGATCCAGGAATCCCATTACTGGGTATATACCCAGGGTGATATAAATCATTCCATTGTAAAGATACATAGATGTGTGCGTTCACCGCAGCACTCTTTACAATAGAAAGTCATGGAATCAACCTAAATACCTATCAATCATAGACTGAGTAAAGAAAATGTGGTATATACACACCATGCAATACTGTGCAGCCATAGAAAGGAATAACATATGTCCTTTACAGGGACATGGATAGAGCTGGAAGCCATTACCTTCAGCAAACTAACACAGGAACAGAAAACCAAACACTGCATCTTCTCATTTATAAGTTGGAGCTGACTGAGAACACATGGACACGCCAGGGGGAACAACACACACTGGGCA
The DNA here is from genome assembly GCF_000001405.40 of Homo sapiens. Taxonomy (NCBI): domain Eukaryota; kingdom Metazoa; phylum Chordata; class Mammalia; order Primates; family Hominidae; genus Homo; species Homo sapiens. The sequence continues at coordinate 88,991 of NW_003315934.1, read as the reverse complement.
CCTGTAGGGGGTTAAGGGGTAGGAGAGCATCAGCAAGAATAGCTAATGGATGCTGGGCTTAATAACTGGGTGATGGGCATGATGGCTCACGCCTGTAATCCTAGAACTTTGGGAGGCTGAGGTGGGCAGATCACTTGAGATCAGGAGTTAGATACCAGTCTGACAAACATGGTGAAACCCCATCTGTACTAAAAATTAAAAAAAAAAAAAAAAGGCAGGCGTGGTGGCACACGCCTGTAATCCCAGCTACTTGAGAGGCTGAGGCAGGAGAATTGCTTGAACCCAAGAGACGGAGGTTGCAGTGAGCTGAGATCGTGCCACTGCACTCCAGCTTGGGTAACAGAGCAAGGCTCCATCTCAAAAATAAATAAATAAATAAATAAATAAATAAATAAATAAATAAATAACTGGGTGATGGTGTGATCTGTGTGGTAAACTACCAAGGCACACGTTTAAACAAACCTGCACATACTGCACACATACCCCTGAACTTATAAGTTGAAAAGAAAAAGAAATTGTGCTTCAAGTTTGTCACAGGTGACCCTTAAAGTCCTCCTAATGGCTTGTATTACTTTGCCTCTTAGCCTACAGGAACTTGAAGAAGAAAGGAAATAACTAACCCAGCAAGCCAGAACCTGATGTTATAATAATTGTAATAGTTAACATGTTAAGCACTTTTCATATATTTCCTAATTTAATCTTACACCAACCCTATGATACTTTACTATTTATCTTAGAAATAGTTCCTGAGCAAACCAGCATTACCAAAAAAACCCCCAAACGACCAGAGAGTGTTAATCTTATCTAGCTTACAGGAAAGTCACAGAAATTCAACAATTGGTCCTATGTTCCTGTTTCTTTTTTCAATTAGTCAGATACCATACCCTGAACTTGTTTCAACGTCTCGCTTTATTTCCAGAATATTCCTTAATTGCTTCCTGATTTCTGCAGCACAAATAACACCCCCAAGGAATCTTGATTTACTCCCATTCTAGTAGTTGTACAACTTTGTTCTATGGCTATCTTGATATAATTATAATCTATTTATAGATTATATTATATACATTATATATTTGTCCTTCTTTTTATCCCTTTTGTTTGTTTATTTTTTGAGACAGGATCTCACTCTGTCACCCAGGCTGCAGTGCAGTGTCACAGCTTTGGCTCACTGCAACCTCTGCCTCCCAGACCCAAGCGATCCTCCCACTTTAGCCACCCAAATAGCTGGGTCCACAGGCACGCATCACCATGCTCGGCTAATTTTTGTAGAGCCAGGGTTTCGTCATGTTACGCAGGCTGGTCTTGAACTCCTAGGCTCAAGCGATCTGCCTGCCTCGGCCTCCCAAAGTGCTGGGATTATAGGCATGAGCCACTGTACCCGGCTTATTTGTCCTTTTATACTGACACATTGTACTGCTTCATTTTGCCAAAATGTCTTGCCAAAAGTGCACTGAATGAGTTCTCTAGTAATAATCCACAGAAATTTTTTATCTATGCTGCCCCAGTATTCTCAGTTCCATTCAAAGAATTAGGCTCTAGCTTTAGCACAGCAAGAAATCACATCAGCTAACCTATAAACATCATCTGATGACATACTCCTTTAGGTACATCTTGCTGAACTCCCAATGCACTATTTTAAAAATTAATGCACAATAATTTCCTTAGTAGGACAGCATTTCCATCAAATAATTCTATTTGCATAAGGGAAGTGGTGCTGTTGCTACTCTTACCTGCTGGCCCCCATATGGATGAGCCAGTGGAATGGATCCAAACACTGTCTTTTCGCCACTTACAAGCTGGATAAAATCGTCTGTTTCTGAGACAGATAAATCAAGGTCCAAAATATCTTCTAGAACTTCCTGAGGCAGGGAAAACAAATTTACAAACCGACGTCATCTTTCAGTTTTTGTTGTTTTTGTTGTTGTTGTTGTTGTTGTAGTTGTTTATTTTCTGAGACACAGGCTCACTCTGTCACCCAGACTGGAGTGCAGAGAAACAATCATGGCTCACTGCAGCCTTAAACTCCTGGGCTCAAGTGATACTCCCGCTTCGGCCTCCCAAAATGCTATGATTACAGTAGTGAGCTACTGCGCTCAGCCTAATAATTTTTAAGAATGCAGATTTAATGGCCGGGCGCGGTGGCTCACGCTTTTAATCCTAGTACTTTGGAAGGCCTAGGCGGGCAGATCACGAGGTCAGAAGACCGAGACCGTCCTGGCTAACACGGTGAAACCCAGTCTCTACTAAAAATACAAAAAAAAAAATTAGCCGGGAGTGTTGGCAGGTGCCTGTAGTCCCAGCTACTCCGGAGGCTGAGGCTGCAGGATGGCGTGAACCCTCGAGGCGGAGCTTGCAGTGAGTGGAGATCGTGCCACTGCATTCCAGCCTGGGCAACACAGCGAGACTCCGTCTCAAACAAACAAACAAAAGAAAGAATAGACAGTTAATGGAAGAAAATTCAAAAAATAAACCTCTTCTGAAAATATTAATATTTTTTCATAAGAGATGTACCATACATTCCATGATTATTTATGCTATTTAGGAAAAATTAGTTCTATTAGATAGTTCTAAAAATTTTATTAGTTTCTTATGATGCATGGTAAAATAATATTTTTCCTAGGACAAATTCATTTAAGGAACTAGAAAAAAGTAAACATCTTATTTTTAGCCCAAATTCATTTATATCATGAGAGAACAATGTAGAATTTGTTAGAGACCATTAGATAAAGGATATCTAAGATAACAATTTAATTCATTTTCCTCTTTTTCACAAAAGCATATTTTCCTTGTAAGACAATGTTAAGATGAAACTATCAGAGTGTGATTTCTAAGAATGACATCTCCAAGTATTTGAAATTTAAACACAGATAGTCATTTATAATTAGACTAATAATATTAACTCTAAAAATTATTTTAAACAAATGTTTTAGTGAGTTTAGTATTTGTGTTGTGAAAAAATAATGGCTAACCTTTGAAACTGCTACAAGAGGTACTCTTGATTTGAAAGGAGTTGGGAAGGCAATTGAAAAAAGTTTTCCCTTTAAGAACATAAAATTTTCTTTCACAGGATCAACAGGCAACATAGCTGATAAAACAAAACAGCCTTCTTAATGTTCTCATTTGTTGCATATACAGCACTAACATCCCTTAGAAAGGCTATGGTTCTTCCAGAAACTCAAGTCACTATTTTCTTCATGCTTTGTTATTTAAAGGCTACTTTGCCATTTCAACACGATCTAGCCAACATTCATTTAGGACAGTACATGGAACTGTTCAAGAGGTTAGGAAATGGAAAAAGTTTAAAACAGGAAGACACATACCCTGTCTTCAAAGATCTTCACTCATGGAAGGCAAATTAAATTGCAACATATTTATAAATAAAAATACATATTTTTAAATGGAGGTGAGCTGCATTACAGAATTACAAGTATAGTACTAGTTAATTCAATGGAACCAAAATCCATTAGGCACATAATCACATGCGTTCTGCCCTTTGGAAACACAATTAGCTAAAGGAAACAGATATACAAGAGACATAAATAACTTTAAGACCAGGCAATACATGGCTTACTAGCTGCACAAAACTGCTGTAGATCCCACATTTGATAGATGCCCCACCGCAAAGCTAAAAGTTTAGAAATTGCCTCTGCAGAGACAAACTATGTCTCATAATGTCCATACACTAAAACACATGTACCGCATTTTAAAAGCTGTAGAGGAAAAGAAAGCTTTGACCACGTTTTAGATTCTCAGAACATATTTAGTCTTATTTTATATACAATATCTAAACTCTTAATCTGTTTTTCCAATCCAAAGCAATTAAAACAATAACCAAATAGAAGAGGGTAGGTGTATTAATACAACTATAAGACTAAGGGACAAAAAAGCCCTGTTTCTGGATAGAGATTTATTGTTAAAATGTGTCACCAAATTATTTAATAAACATAATAGGAATCAAATTAACATCCTAACAGGATTTTTTTGAAGAAATAGACAATCTTAATGTGCAAATCTGCAAAAATGAACAGATAACATTTTTTTAAGTAAGAGAAACAAGTTTGCTTATATTAAAAATTATAAGACTGCAGTAACTAAAAATATTGCTATCCTAAAAATAGATGCAATAGACGCAAAGATCAATGGAGCTCAATAAAAAGCACAGAAACAACCCGAAGCTATAAAGAATTTCCTATATAGTGAAAATGACATTTCAAATCAGTGGAGAAAGGTAGCATTATGACAATTTGCTCCACTGTCTGGAGTAACGCCAATTTATTCCATCCAGGCTTAAGTGAACTAAATATCAGTTACAACAGCAATTTTCTATCTTCCTCAAATGAGTAATAAAAACAGGCTAATATGGGCCATATGGCCACATTTAGCCCTTTATATGTTCCCTTAAGACCATGATGTATTATAAGGTAGCATCCTGGGGGAATAAATGTGTACTCAATCAAAAAATGGCAGATTTTAACATTCATACCAGAAAACCAGACAATATGATTATAAGTGGAAGATCAACAGTATGTTTTCTTCTTTTGTAGGAGAGCCTCTGTGTGGAATTAACTAGATTATATAATTAACGCAATATCCTTTATAATGTTCTAACATTGGTATGGCAGGGGCAGCATATCACGTTCCATTAGTGGTTATCATTTTGTACCACTTGATGCATATTCTGGCAAGATAGCTGCTTGGGCAATACGTGTGTTCACCAGCCATGGAACAAAAAAGGCTATTTCAGGCATATTCAACCCTCACCTATGTGATGCTTTAACAAGCTAAGAAGTCATTGACTAAAAACCCCAGAGAAATCTCAGGAAGATCAGTACTGGCAACATTAAATTCTTTAGAATTCAGTTTTGCATAAGACTATGAAATCCACAAAAACTTCTAACCTTTCACTGCAAATGTTTGAACCTATTCTCTCAATAAATGTTCTTACCAGAGTAAGATAATTCGGATAATTTATTGATCATTTATCTAGTAACGTCAGGATGAGACGTTTTACACAGTACTGTGAACCAAGACGCAGTAATGCATAGGATTATTTATTTATTTATTTGGAGACAGACAGTGCCTCACTCTTTCATCCAGGCTGGACTGCAGTGGCACGATCACAACTCACTGCAGCCTCGAACTCTCGAACTTCTGGGCTCAAGCAACCTTCCCCGCCTCAGCCTCCTGAGTAGCTAGGGCTACAGGTACACACCACCACACCTGGCTAATTTTATTTTGTAGAGACAGGGTCTTGCTTATGTTGCCTAGGCTGGTCTCGACATCCTGGCCTCAAGCGATCCTCCCACCTCGGTCTCCCAAGGTTCTTGGATTACAGGTATGACCCACTGTGCCTGGCCTGGTATTATATTTACAATTTCTTTGGCTATAAAACCTGGTACTATTGTAGATATTATGTTTTAAATACTACCATCAATACGGCAAGAAAATGTCTTCGAGGGTAGCTAACACTCCAACATCAAAACGACAACCTTGATCACTTTCAGTTACACATAGGCCATTTTTATACATCTGTACTGGCTCTTTTCATTTGTCTAAGGGCAGCAAAATAGACTAAAGTTGTTTTCAGACTGCATAAGAGAAGTCTGTTCTTTAGCAGTTACCTGCACAATTCACATAATGTTTTTAACTTCCTCAACTCATGCTTGGCCTAGTTGTGTCAAAAGAACTACTTGTGAATTCCATATGTCCAATTGGTAGGTTACTGTTTTTTCTCAAGAGTTTAGCTATACAGTAATGTTGAAAGTCTTGAGGAACTTCATCTGCTGACCCTACTTAGCCTTGCAATACTACAGCACCTTTTTATTTATTTATTTATTAAAGACAGAATCTCGTTTTGTCACCTAGACTAGAGTGCAGTGGCGCAATCTCGGCTCACTGCAACCTCTGCCTCCTGGGTTCAAGCAATTCTCTTGCTTCAGCTTCCCAAATAGCTGGGAATACAGACATGCACCACCATGCCCAGCTAATTTTTGTATTTTTGGTAGAGGTTTAGTAGAGGTTTCACCATGTTGGCCAGGCTTGTCTGGAACTCCTGACCTAAAGTGATCCACCCCTCTCGGCCTCCCAAAGTGCTGGGATAACAGGCGTGAGCCACCCCACCTGGCCTACAGCATCATTTTAAAAGCAACATTTTCTGTTTTAATGTGGCCAAGCAATCTCTATATGAAAATGGCCTGACAAAATTGTGTAGTGCCATACTTGCCAACTGTGTGAGCTTGAGTGTGATACTTATTTGACAATATGGTATTTCCTCTATGTGTTTCCTTATCTTTAAAAAATAAAAAAAGGACAAATGATAATGTCTTAGTCATAGGATTGTCAAGTACAATCTGAGTGCTTATTGCTACACTCTACTTGGCAAATTATACCTGTTGGATGTTTCTTAACATATAAACCTAATCTAAACCAGGTAAGCTACAGGTACTTATTAACAATCTTTGCTTGTAAAGCACTTTGCATATTTTTACATACTATTCTTCAAGATGCAAAAAACACCATCAAACTGGCTTATTTTCTCAGATGTCTTTACATGGTCTATGATGTCTTCATTCCATAAAAAAACCCACACGATTAAATATGAAATTAATGTACCCAGCTATGAGGCTATCGCATTCTTTAATGCAAGAAGAATAAGAAAATACATGAATCAGAGAACTGCAGTTACGTACTTGCTGGTCTGTTTCCTCATTAGAGTGAATTTTTTGAGGACTAAATTGCATTTCTGTATCTCTAATGCTTACCCATTATCTCACTGGCTCTGTGTGTTTGAGTGCATGCGCTGAGTCCTTAATTATATCACTTATTTTCTGTTAGAAACACGCTGTCTCTCAGCACCGGAACAGCACCCGTAGATCTGGCCTTGGAGCTAAGGAAAGAAGGTCTCTCTAACCCATAAGGGGTACCAATCCTGTACAGACCCCGATATCTCCCGGGCTGGGTACACGCAGGTTCACACCCAGGTGTGAGCGAGATTGCCAAACTATACCTATAAGGCATTCAGAGGAGAGAGTCCAAAAGTCGAGAGAACGGACTAATTTAGCTAATTTCACAATAGCCCTGATCGTGGTCGGACTTGTTCCTAGGAAGATGCGAGAGGCTGGCCCTTCCTTCAAGAGCAGATTGCAAAAGGCAGCAGACCAAGTCAAGGCAGGTCACTGCCAAGAGAAGCAGAAGCGGAAACCATCGCCTCTGGCTTAGGCTGCAGAGCGGGAACCCGATTCTCTGAGTCATGTTTCTACCTAAACACGGAGAACAAAAGAGTTAGTGACTGTAAGGGTGGCGCGCCGTGCTATTTCTTGCTACTGAATGGTCCCCACTGGGACATTTTTGCTATGATTGCAGGCGTGGCCAGTGCCCCTGCACGGATTCCGGGAAGGGGTGGGGATAGGAGGTTCGCCCCGGGGAAGGTCACGCTCGGCGGACCCCGGGCTGGGCCTCCCCTCGCCCCTGCCCCGCCGCCTCCCCAGAGCGGCCGCTGTCCCCGCTGGCTGCGGACGGGCGGGCGCCAGAGGTCCCCAGTGCTGGCAGCCTGGTCGCACGCGGGGAAGAGCGAACCGCGGCCCTGGGCGCGGCCGAAGCGCCACTACTGTCTCCTCAAACTATATCTTTTCTTCAAATAAGGAGGAAATTCTTTCGCAAGACAAATAATGAGAAAAACACACTCAAAAATCACATTGAATCAGTGTTTGAAAGGAAGACAGAAAATACTCAGTTTGACTAAACTGTGTATAAAATACCACCTTGTTTAGTTATTTTAGGCAATACCAAACCTTTGTTTTAACCAATTAAAAAAAATCTTGGCCCAGTATGGTGGCTCTCGCCTGTAATCCCAGCACTTTGGGAGGCCAAGGTGGCTGGATCTCTTGAGCCCAGGAGTTTGAGACCAGCCTGGGTAATGTGGCAAAACCCTGTTTCTACAAAACAAAATTCAAAACTAAGCCAAGTGTGGTGACATGCACCAGTAGTCCTAGCTACTCAGGAGGCTGAAGTGGGAGGATCCCTTGAGCCTAGGAGGCGGAGGTTGCAGTGAGCCGCTGGACTCCAGCCTGGGCGACAGAGCCAGACCTTGTCTCAAAAGAAAAAATATATATATTGGCTGGGCACATGGTTCATGCCTGTAATCTCAGTACTTTGGGAGGCAAAGAGGGGAGGATCGCTGGATCCCAGGAGTTTGAGACCAGGCTGGGCAGCGTAGCAGGACCTCATCTCTAAAAAAACAATAATAATAAAATAGCCAGGCACGGTGGTGCACACCTGTTTTCTTTTCCTTTGCAGCACTTATCTCCTAATATTCGATATAACTTATTTGTTTTGTTAATTTGTCTCTCCTACTAGACGTAAGCATCTTGCGGCCACAATTATTTTTCCTGGTTTTTTTTTGTTGTTGTTGTTGTTTCCATTGCTGTGCCCTTAGCACTTAGAACAGTGTCTGGCACACAATGAGCACCTAAGTACTCAATAAATATTTAATAAATATTTGTTGAATGCATGAACTCTGCAGGGAAAAACAGGTACAAACCTGATAGAGACAAGGGTGGGAGCAAGATGGCTTAATGAATATCATTTTATATCACTTTGATTTTGAACTATATAACTGTATTACCAATATATTTTTAAATTAAGGAAACCATAGATGGAATGTAAAATTTTTATCTTTATTGAAACAATATTTTTGCTACCGGGGTTAATAAAATCACTATATACCTTGACTTCCATCTGGAATCTTGTTGTACTGAAAACAGGGTCAATTTTAGATTGGAGGAGTTGGGGGAGAGGAAGGGTAGGAAGAGAAATATATTTTGTCTTCCAGCAAATACATTAGAGACACAGAAATGTTTAAAATGTTGTCCCTGGCTTCCAGGAGCTCAATGACTAGTAGTTGGATCAATCAGTATTTAACGTTCAATATAATACTAATGTACTCAGAATATTATTCTTGCTTATTCATATATATACATATGATATTTCAATTTAAGCAATTATAAACATTGCAAATTTTTCTATTTATTCTTTATTGCTGCATTAAAAAAAAAGCAACCATGTTCCTTTTTCTCTTCAGTCGAAATTCAGAATAAGAGACCACGCAGTAGATAGACAGAGATTAAAATATCAGCTTACTACGGATAAAAGCTAGCCTGGAGAATATGGCTCAGGCGGTAGATAAAGAGGCATGATGATATGTTACATGCAAATGAATATCAATCAACTGTTGGAGCAAAATAAAAACTGTACTAACAGTTATGCAAAGATTCAGAGAATATATCACCTATCCATCCTGTTTGGGCAAAACACTTAAGAAAATAATCAAGACAGGGACTTGAAGATGGAACCATGAAAAAAGGGTGGTGGTGAGCAGAGAAATGGGGGAGTGTCAAAGGCAAAGACACTTTAAACAGAACAGATACACTTCAAGGGAAAAACTAATAATCTGAAGTTCAAAATATTAAACTATCTCAGCAAAATCTAGCAGCTACGTAACTAGATGCAAAACATAAAAACATTCTAAAGGTCTCATCTATTGGGATGAAGGGGAAAGCAATGGACAAATAGAATCTTAGTGAGGAAAAAATCGAAAAACTTGTTTTCCCATGAAAGTGGCAAATAAAGAAGATAACTATGAATGGAATTGTAGAATTGTTTTTCAGTCAAGTTTCCAAATCAACAGCAGTGTGGGGTATCGGGGAAAAGAGTGGATTTCAAATCAGAAAAAGATAAGAAAGTCTAGGGGAGGCCAACAGTAAAATAAAGATGAAGCACAATGTAAGACAGAAGGAATAAATCACATATATCAATTGTTATAATAAATGTGATCAGTCTGCGTACTTCTATTAGGACGGAAACTATCACATTAATCAGAATATGTTTATACCATGTTTGTTTTTATAAGAAGAACACTTTAAAACAAATAAAGATAGGTAGATAAAGGTAAAAAAAAGGTGAGAACAAAGCAAACTCAACAAAAAGAAAGCACGAATGGCAATATTAATGTCAGGTGAATTGAAATCAATAGTTATAAGTATAAATCAGAATAAATAGAATCATTGTTAAGATAAAAGCTATTTTTTGAAGAAAATATAAGTAAAAAATCTGTATGTACCAATAATACACAGTAAAATGTGTACATTTTAAACAATTAGAAAAAAAACTTGGATAAAAATATAATTAAAGTAGGAGCTTTTAATACACATCTCTTAAGAACCTAACTTATCTCTGTAATCCCAGCATTTTGGGAGGCCAAGGCAGGCAGATCACCTGAGGTCAGGGGTTTGAGACCAGCCTGGCCCACATGGTGAAACCCCGTCTTACCAAAAGTACAAAAAAATTAGCTGGGCATGGTGGCAGGTGCCTGTAATCCCAGCTACTCGGGAGGCTGAGGCAGGAGAATAGCTTGAACCTGGGAGGCGGAGACTGCAGTGAGTAGAGATTGCACCACTGCACTCCAGGCTGGGTGACAGAGGGAGACAGTCTCAAAAAAAAAAAAAAAAAAAAAAAAAAGAATCTAACTCATCTAATAAAGAGAGGCTCATAAAGGACTTGAATAATGTAATCAATACATTCAATTTGATACATTAAAACTTTTCACTACAGAATATATGTTTTTATGTAAAATCACCAAACATGTCCAAAAATGTTTTATGTTGGGCCACAAAGAAACCTTAACACATTTTGAACAGTGGAGTTTTACCAAACACATTCTTTAGTCATAGCGTGAACCCGGGAGGCGGAGCTTGCAGTGAGCCAAGATCGCGCCACTGCACTCTAGCCTGGGCGACAGAGCAAGACTGTCTCAAAAAAAAAAAAAAAAAAAATACAGACAAGAGGGTTCCAACTGCATAGAAATTAAGAAATACAGTGATTAGAAAAAGAAATACAGAGATAAAAACTCTTGGATTAAACAGGAATAAACAGATTTCACAGCATCTAAAAAGCAATAAATAAGAAAAAACTATATCCCAATAACCATGGGGAAAAAAAGCCCAAACTGAACAAGAGAAAAATATATAGCACTAAATAATATGATAGTTTTTTTATGTTGGTTTCTTAGTTTTCAAAAAAAAAATCATTATACAAATATGTTTTTACACAGATAGGGGTCTCACTATGTTGCCTAGGCTGGTCTCTAACTCCTGGCCTCAAGCAAATCTTTTGTCTTGGCCTCCCAAAGCTCTGAGATTACAGACATGAGCAAAAACGCCCAGCCTACTATGTTTTCACTGTGAATGTGATTATATATTTTGTTTTTAACATCTTATTTTGTACTTACTATTACCCTGGATTTTTCTGGGGTTTTTTTTCTTCCTTTCTTGTCTACTTCATGTGATTAGGATTTTTCTCTTATTCTCCTTCTTAGGCTTCTTGTTGAAAACTTATATACTGTGTCTATTCTTTCAATGGCTACCTATAATGATAATATCCATACTCAATAAAGTCTCAAGTTAAACAACTTTAAACCAGGAAATACATGGATGTTGGAACACTTTGGTTTCAAACACACACACACACACAGACACAAACACACACATTATTGTCTAGCATTTGACACACAGCTGAGTATTTTTTTTCCTAGGATATCTTTATTTCACCCTCATTCTTCAAAGATGGTTTCAGTGAATGTAAAATTTTAATTGACAGTAAAAGCTTGGTTTTTTGAGGAAATTATCCCTACTGTCTTCTCCCTTTCACTGTTGCTGTTGAGAAGTCACCTGTCAAATTATTATTTCTATTGGTTCATCTCTGTTTCCCCTCTGCATGATTTTAAGACCTTTTCTTTGTCTTTGCTGCACACAGTGGGACTGTGGATTTCTTTTTACTTAACTTGCCTGATAATTCATTGAGGTTTCTGAATCTACAAATATCTGCCTTTCATTATTCTGGAAAATTGTAATTTATTTTGTTTTCAAACATTGCTTCTCATTATTCACTTCTTCTGAAACTCTAATGAAATTGTATGTTAGATCTTCTAACACTAGCTTCCTTATCTCTTAATTGTGTATATTTTCTATTTCTTTATCTATTCTGGGTATATTCATCAGATCTTAATTCCCATTCACCAATTCTTTCGTCAGCACAATCTAATCTACGTTAAAGCCATCCACTTTTGGTTTTTGTTTTTTGAAACAGACTTTATTTTTTAGAGCAGTATTAGATTCACAGCAAAACTGAGCAAAAAGTACAGGGAGTTCCCATTTGTCTCCTGCCTCACACATGCAGTCTCCTCCACTACCACAATTCTACAAAAATAGCACTGTAACAATTGATGAACCTACACTGACACATCATTAGCATCCAAAGTCCATAGTTTACTTAGGGTTTACTCTTCAGATTGCACAATCTGTGGGTTTTCAGAAATGTACAATGACATGTATCCACCATTATAGAATCATACAGATTAGTTTCACTGTCCTAAAAATCCTGTGTTCTGCCTATTAATCTCTCCCTCCCCTTTAAAGCCTGGCAACCACTGATCTTTTTTATTGTTTCCATAATTATACCTTTTCCATAATATCATATAGTTGGAAACATACAGTATGTAGCCATTTCAAATTGATTTATTTTCTTTATTAATATGCACTTATGGTTCCTCCATGTCTTAGTCTATTTTCTGTTACCATAACAGAATACCTGAGATTGGGTAGTCCATAAAGAAAAGAGATGTATTTTGGATCATGGTTCTGGAGGCAGTAAAGTCCAAAGAGAATGGTGCCAGTGTCTGGGGAAGGCCCACTGACTGCATCATAATATGGCAGATAAGCAGAATGAGAAGCGGGTGCATGCAAAAGAGGGACCAACCAGGAGAGGCAAGCTTGCTTATGACAACCCACTCTCGTGGTAACTAATCCATTGCCATGAGAACTAGCCCTGAAAGAGATTAATCCATTTTAATGATTTAATCACCTCTTAAACTACCTCCCAGCACTGCCACATTGGGAATCAAGACTAAACACGAATTTTGGAAGGGCCGACCCATATTCAAAGCATAGTACTCCATATATTTATCTTTTCACAGCTTCATAGCTCATTTCTTTTTTGTTTGTTTTCTTTCCTTTGTTTCTTTTTTAGAGACAGAGTCTTGATCTGTTGCCCAGGCTGGAGTACAGTGGCACAATCTCATCTCACGACAAACTTCACCTCCTGGGTTCAAGCGATTCTTCGGCCTCATCCTCTCCAGTAGCTGGGTTTACAGGTGCACCACCACGCCCGGCGAGTTTATGAGTTTTTAGAGATGGGGTTTCATCATGTTGTCCAGGTTGGTCTTGAACCCTAGGCGCAAGCAATCCACCTGTTCCAGGCTCCCAAAGTGATGAGATTGCAGGCATGAACCACCGCGCCCAGCCCATTTCTTCTTATCACTGAATAATATTCCACTGTCTGAGTAAACCACAGTTCATTTATTCATTCATCTATTGAAGGACATGTTGCTTGCCACCAACATTGGCACTTATGGATAAAGCAGCTAGAAATGTGTGCAGACATTTGTGTAAATATCAGTTTCCAGCTCACTTAGGCAAACAGGAGTGCAATTGCAGGGGTCATATGACAAAAGTGTGTTTAATTTTGTAAGAAGTTGCCAAACCATCTTCTTATGTGGCTACTCGATTTTGCTCTCCCTCCAACAATAAATGAGTGTTCTTATTGCTCTACATTCTTCTCAGCATTTGGTATTGCCAGTGTTTTCAATTTTAGCCATTCTAATAGGTATGTAGTGGTATCATTTTTAACTTGCTATTCCCTAATGACATATGATGTTGGGCATTTTTTTCATATGCTTATTAGCCATCTGTATCTTTTTTGGTGAGTTGTCCATTCAGATCTTTTGTCAATTTTTTAATTGGACTGTTCATTTTCTTATTGTTGAATTTTAAGGGTTTATATATTTTGGATAACAGTATTTTATCAGATATGTCTTTTGCAAGTATTTTTCCCCATCTGTGGCTTGTCCTTTCATTCTCTTGATTGTGCACTTCACAAGAGCTTTTAACCTGAATGAAGTCCAGCTTATCAATTATTTCTTTCATGGATGATGCCACTGGTGTTGTTGTATCTAAAAAGTCACTGCCATACCCAAGGTCATCTAGATTTTCTTCTATGTTATCTTCTAGAAGTTTTATAGTTTACTTAGTTCTCTTATCCATTTTGAGTTAAATTTTTTGAATGATGTAAGATCTGTGTCTAGGTTCTTTGTTTTTGTTTTTCCATGTGGATATCCACTTGTGCCAGCACGATCTGTTGAAAAGATTATCTTTCCTTTATTACCTTTGCCCCTTTGTCAAATATTTGTATAAGTCTATTTTGGAGCTTTCTATTCTGTTCCATTGATTTATTTTTCTGTTCTTTTGCCAATACCACACTGTCTGGATTGCTATAGATTTCTTGTAAATCTTGAAATTGGGTAGTGTTAGTCCCAGACTTTCTTTTATTCTAATACTGTGTTGGCTATTCTTGTTTCCTATTTTTTTTTTTTTTGCCTCTCCATATAAACTTTGGAGTCAATTTGTCAATATCCACAAGATAAATTGGTGAGATATCGATAGGGATTGCATTGAATCTACAGAGCAAGTTGGGAAGAACTGACATTTCGCAAATGCTAGGCCTTCCTATCTGTGAACACGGAATACCTCTCTATTTATTTAGTCCTTCTTTGATTTTTTTAATCAAAATTTTCTAGGTTTCCTTATATGTCTTTTATATATTTTGTTAGATTTATACCTAAATATTCCATTTGCAGGGAGGGATGTGAACATAAATGGTATCTTTTTAACTTCAACTTCCAATTGCTTATCGCTGGTGTGTAAAAGAGAAATTGCAATTGACTTTTCTATATTAACCCTGTATGCTGCATCCTTGCTGTAACTGCTTATTGATTCCAGGAGTTTTTGGTCAGTTGTCTTGGTGGTCTCCTCAAGAGTCCTCCTCTAGACCCAGGATTAAGAGTTTGCATTATTTTCCTCCCCATACATAGGACTGTCAAAGGCAAGGTAGGGGAGAGTGTGAGGCAAGAGCTCCCTGCAGTCTTCTCCACTTTACATCATTTCATACTGTTAAAGTAAATGAGGGGAATTAACAGTTGTGGCACAGATTCTCAGATATTTGCTATGAAAACCTACATATGATGATTTGGACTTTCACAGTTATTATATCCTGGCGGTCTTTGATGAAACTTTAATTTTAACCTATTGTTCAATCAGTATCATTTTTATTGGTAAAATTCATAGGAGAAAAAACAAATAATTATTTCAATAAGTGTCAAAAAGGCTCTTGATGAAATTCAACACCACTCCTTTTTAAGAAAATTTAAAACTTCATGCCGGGCGCGATGGCTCACGCCTATAATCCCAGCACTTTGGGAGGCTGAGGCAGGTGGATCATGAGGTCAGGAGATCGAGACTATCCTGCCTAACACGGTGAAACCCCGTCCCTACTAAAAATACAAAAAATTAGCCAGGCGTGGGGGCAGACGCCTGTAGTCCCAGCTACTGGGGAGGCTGAGGCATTAGAATGGTGGGTACCTGGGAGGCGGAGCTTGCAGTGAGCCGAGATCGCGCCACTGCACTCCAGCCTGGGCAACAGAGCGTGCCTCTGTCTCAGAAAAAAAAAAAAGAAAAGAAAAGAAAATTTAAAACTTCATAAGCAGCTAGTATCTGAGGAAGATGTTTTTATACTGATAAAAGGTGTCCAAAACCTACAGCAAAGGGTATATTTAACAATAAAGCACGAACAGAAATGTCATTTACATTCATAGTACCCAGGATTTGTTTGAATCAGTAATGGTAAGACACACAAACACAGAAATTACTGTCATGAGGGAAGTAGTTTATTTTACTACTCACAGTCCTCTAGAAGCTGTAGGCACAGCACACCACAAGGGGCAGGACAGGGAAACATCAAGGTCAGTCAGGAGGCAGAGGGAACGGGGGAAAACATGGGAAAGAATCTTTATTGCAGTTCCATGGGACGGGACAAGCAAGTCAGGGCAATCAGGCTTAGCATTGGCTGGTTTGAATAACATCATTGGCTTCTGGAAAGAAGAGGCTGCTATCTGGCCCTGAGGGAATTAGAGAAGCAGAACGGTGGCCAGAAATGTGAGAGTGATAAAGAAGATTAAAGACTTCAAAAGAGATAAACAGAGACAAAGAAAAATAAAGAGTGATGAAGAGACTATAAAGAAGGGGGTATAAACTCTGGATTGGTTGGATTATATAGGAAAGGCATACATGCAGGCAACTTGTTTATTACGTCTAGCGGTTAGCTTATCCTGAGAGGGGCAGTCCCTCCAGGGTCAACAAGACCCAGATGTCAAAGCATCAAATTCAGAAAATAAGAGACATGACTAATACATCGTTAAAGTCAATATTATAATTAATATTATTCAACATTATCCTGGAGTCTCTACCAATGCATACAACTGCAAAACCAATAAGATAAACATATATCTCAATGGAAAAGACAGAGTTTTAAATTCTCAGATGATGTATCTACTTAAAATTTTTTTTAAAACTCAAGCAATCCATTAAAAGCTATTAATCACAGAAACTAAAAACTGTCCTGTATACTATATACCAGTGAAGCTCATTTATAAAATGTAGTATAAAGGGTGATTCACAAGAGCAACAAAAACTAAAATATTTTTAGAATTGATAGACAATTTCAAAGTCTATATAAGGAAAATTGTAAATGTTTATTGCAGATGTAAAAGAAAACATCAGGAAAAAAGAGGTGCAGGTCATCACTACTCCACCTAGTTCCGATAACCAAGATTTAATTAAATAACATGAGTTCCCCAACATGGTTCCAAATTCAGTTGCCATGGTATTTTAACTGTGAGTAATTTTGTAAAGTACAAACTTTGTGTGAGCTCTTCAGTCCACAAATCACAACATAAATAACAGATGAGATCATGATCAGTGACCCATCATTTCTTTCAAAGTATGAGGTTGCCAATCACTGCATATTTGTTACTGAGTTTATAAAGAGAGCAAAGCATGTCGTTGTCTTGCCTCCTTGTCTCCCAGTGAGACGCTCACATGACATTTTACAAAAATGAACAATCAAAAGAGGAAGTGGTCAACAAACATGAAACTGCAAAAAAAAAAAAAAAAAAAAGAAAGAAAGAAAAGAAAAGTGATAACACAAAGTGAAATTCAAGTGGAACATAAATGTAGTTGTAGAAGAAATAGTGGCCATTCACTGAGGCAGATGTTTGCTTCGTATTTCAATTATTTTTGCCAAATAAATCAATTCTGAATCTGATTGAAGCTCTATACTTACAGAAATACAGGGCCCAGAGATATGTGTTGCATTAGGGTGTTTTCCTGTTGCTATAAGTAAATACCTGAGGCTGGGTAATTTATAAAGAAAAAAGGTTTAATCAGCCACAGGTCTGCAGGCTTTACAGGAAGCATGGTGCTGGCAACTGCTCACCTTTTGGGGAGGCCTCAGGAGGCTCCCATTCATGGCAGACGGCAAAGTGGGAGCAGGCTTCTCACACGGAGAGACTGGGAGCAAGAGAGCAAGCGGGGGAGGTGCTACACACTTTTAAACAACAGATCTCCTGAGAACTCCCTCACTATCAGTGGGACAGCACCAAGTTATGAGGGATCTGTCCCCATGACCCAAACACCTCCCACAAGTCCCCACGTCCAACATCGAGGATTATATTGATGAAAGAAGGTAAATACCAGTAACATGTGAAAAGAGCTGCATCTGGAAAGCTGCTCTATCAACGAAATCATTAGAAAAATGTGATACTTAGTGTACGAATTTTAGGAAATTTCCCTATTACACTTGCTACTTTGAATGAATATGTGTATTATTTCCAAAACATATAAATTGAATATTTAATCATTGAATGCATGTATATATATATATACACACACATATATATATATCATATGTATATGTTGACATCACAGAGTAGACTTAACTCATGGCAATTTTTTTTCTAAAGCACCTGCAGAAATCTGTCCTCTTTTCAGTTTCAAAAACCCTCACAAGCCATGGGGGAGAGAGGATCCTTTAGATGCCAGATAGTTCATGAGGCACATTGGGTTGCAGTAATTTTAACATAATTCAAATTCATAATTCACAGTGAGGAAACCTGAAAGTTGCTGGAAGCTATCAATGAATGAAAGGTGGGGCGGGGCTGCTGTGGGGGCGGGGCCTTGTGAGCCAGTGCCTGGACTCCCACATCACAAATGGAAGGGCGGCGCGTGGAGGGAACTCAAGGCCTGATTGGTTCCTCCTACGCAGGACGCGATCTGGTTGGCAGGGCAACCGGCCTTCAGTTAGTGCCTTCAGTGGGTGCCTTAAGTTGGTGGCATTTGGTTGCCTTTCCAGGGGAGAGGTAGCGGGCGCTCAGCTCTGCAGGCTTGGGGCAAAGCCCCAAGGGAAGGCCCAAGCTGCCCAAGAAGAGCAGAGGTGCCCCACGGGGAACACGCTGGCCTGTCACATGAGCACCAAAGCCAGCCCCAGGTAGGGCCCGCGCAGGGCTTCTGCGGAGCCGTCTTGCGGCTCTGACATCTATGAGTGGGCGGCCAGCAAAGGCGCAGGCCCCAGCACAGAGGAGCAGAGGCGCCCGAACACGCTGTCCCCCAATGCCAGCTCCAAGCTGGGTTGGCTCAGGGTGCGGTGTTTGGAGCCGTCCTGAAGCTCTGAGATCCACAAGGTGGCGGTGCGAGTAGCGCCAGACTCCACTGCTTTGGAGCCTACCTAGTCTGATTTGGGAGCCATGACTTGCAGCACATTGGCGACCAGAAGACGCCAAAAGGTAGGGAGACTACAGATAGCGCTTGGCCTTAGGAGCTCCTTTGGCAGTTGCTCACCCAGGGTTCCCCGAAAAGGCATCCATAGCCTAGGGCTCCTCCCCGCTCCCCCTAGTTCGCTATCCTAGGCCTAGGCCTCAAGCAGGAGCACTGACTCTGCCTCGCCTCCCCATCCCTTCTTTTTTCCCTGCTGTTTCCAGCTGGTTTCTTTCCTCCTACCTAACCCAAGGCCCACTTCTGGGCCCTCTTCTTCTTCCCCCAGGCTGGCCAGAAACTACATTTTTAGAATACAAAATGTATGCTACAGATTTCGTTGCTGTAGAGGAAATGCCTGACAGCTCTTGTATTTAAACTTAAGGAGCCACACTGGGACTCACAATTTCATATCTTGAGTTCTAGACCAGAGCCCTCTCTCCTAAAGCAATGTCAGAGGGTCAGAGATATTCTTCTTGATTGTAATAATAAAATATTATTAATTTAATAAATTAATAAAAAATGTAATAATAAAATATTATTAATATTGATTGTAATAATAAAATAATTTTTTGTAGAGACAGGGTCTCACTGTGTTGCCCAGGCTGGTCTCGACTCCTGGCCTCAAGTGATCCACCCACCTTGGCCTCCCACATTGCTGGCATGATAGGCAGGAACCACCGCATCTGGCCTTTGGAGGTGCTCTAGCTTTGTGTGTTTTGGCTAATCTTCCTGCACAGCTGTAAGATGCTCCTGCAGTATGGTTCCAAACCTTTCTGCACAAATTCAGTGGATCCTGTGATATTTTTTACATGGAATAGCCCTTTTTTTATTGCAGATAAGCTAGACAATTCACAGGTAGTAACCTATGGCCTAGAAAATTTTATTTATTGATGAAAACAACTGTTTATAGATGCTTGTGGTCCAAAGATGCAGATTCCTAATCATGCCCAAGAAGTGATGGCCACTACGGGCAACCAGGGAGGGAGTTTAGGATTGTTCTAAGGCCGTGAAAGCCATTGAAATTCACCCATAATGGGGTAGAGAAAGGGAATCCACATGTTTTGATCCCTCCATGTGCCGGGTATAACTGGGTCTTCGTGAAGGTGCACCACATTTGGTGTCAGAGAGAACAGGAGTTGAATTCCAGTTCCAACACACATTACAACATGATGGTGAATGAGTTTTTAAATCCTCTGAGCTTCAGTTTGCTCATCTATAAAAGATTAAATTCTTATGAGGCTTGCATAAGTTTAGTGTGTAAAAATCTGGGAATAATACCAGTAATTTAAAAGACGTGGTTGTTATGAGGCTTCAGTTAGGTAGTGTGTAAAAATCTGGACACAACGCCTTTAATTTTGTATTTGTTCAATATATAGAGAAGGAAGATTATTTTTCTCTCCTTAATTTTTAGAATAAGTTTACACAATTGGCATTATTCATATTTTTGAGATAATCAAAGGACCAGTATGTTTAAATAAATCATCATAGTCACAAAGCAGTTCACAATATATTTACTGGGTAATTGCCACTTAAAAGTAGCAATGATGATCACATTGAAAATCTTGTATTATGTGTCGGTTTTGTCTTCCATGAGCCTCTTCATTTGTGGAAAGCATAGATTCTAAGTTGCTCTATCAAAGTGATCATTAGAAAAATATGATGTACTTAGTGTATATATTTTAGAAAATTTCCTCTGTTAGTCTTATTAATTTGATTGACTATATGCGTTTTGGATTATGAATATGAATATGTATTGATATATGAAATATGACTTGACATCATAGAGTAATCTTAGCTCATGGCAATGTTTTCTTCTGAAAGCACCTGCCGAAATTTGTCTTTGTTCTAGTTTCAAAAAAAGTCAGAGGCGATGAGGCAAGGGGATGTCTTTGAATGTCAGATAGTGCATGAGGTACATTGGCATACAGTAATTTCAGCATAATTCATATTCATAATTCACAGTAAGAAAACCTGAAAGTTGCTACCAGCGACTAACAAATGAAAGGTGAGGCGGGGCCGCTGTGGGGGCGGAGCCTTGTGAGCCAGTGCCTGAGCTCCCACATCACAAAGGGAAGGGCTGCGCGTGGGGGGAACTCAAGGCCTGACTGGTTCCTCCTAAACAGGAAGCGATCTGGTTGTCAGGGCAACCGGCCTTCAGTTAGAGCCTTCGGTAGGTGCCTTAAGATGTTGACATTTGGCTGAATTTCCCAGGGAGAGGTGGCAGGTGCTCAGCTCTGCAGGCGTGATGGCAAGCAAAGGCCCGAGCTGTCCGAGAAGAGCAAATGTACCCCATGAGGACCACGCTGACCTGTCACATGTGCCCCAAAGCCAGCCCCAGGCAGGGCCAGTGCAGGGCTTCTGCGGAACCGTCCTGCTGCTCTGACATCTATGAGTAGGTGGCCAGGAAAGGCGCAGGCCCCAGCACAGAGGAGCAGAGGCGCCCAGAACACTTTGTTACCCAAAGCCATCCCCAGTCAGGGCCGGCACAAGAGTTCTGCAGAGCCAGTCTATGGCTCTGACGTATACCAGTGAGCAGACAGCAAAGGCGCAGGCCGCGCTATAGAGGAGCAGAGGCGCCCGAAACTCGCTGTCCCCCAAAGCGAGCCGCTAGTGGGGCCAGCTCAGAGTTGGGTGAAGCCATCCTGCAGCTCTGAGATCCACGAGGTGGAGGTGGCAGTAGCGCCAGACCCCACTGCTTTGGAGCCTGCCCAATCGAATTTGGGAGCCAGAGAGGTTCCTGACTACAGCACATTGGCCACCAGAAGACGCCCAAATGCAGGGAGGCGAAGGATACCGCTTAAGTTCAGGAGCTCCTCTGGCCGCTGCATGCCCGTTTCCCTCAGATGCATCCAAAGCCTCAGTTTTCACATCTATAAAAGATGTGATTGTTATGAGGCTTCCATAAGGTAAATGTAAAAATCATGGCAAATTCTTCTAATTTAAAAGAGAGGGTTTCTATGAGGCTTCTATAAGGTAAGTGTGTAAAAATCTGGACACAATACCTATAATTTTTAAAGTGTTCAGTATATGGAGAAGGAGGATTATTTTTTCTCATCTAATTTTTAGAGCAAGTTTATAAAATTGGTGATATTCATATTTATTAGACAAACCAGTGATCAGAAAGAATAAATAGATCACCGAAGTCACAAAGCAGTTCACAATGCATTCACTGGGTAATTTCTAGTTAAAAGTAGCAATGATAATCACATTGCAAATTGTGTATTATGTGGTGGTTTTCTCTTACATAATCTTCCTGGTGTTTTGAAACCAAAGATTTTAAGTTGCTCTATCAAAGTGATTATTAGAAAAATGTGATGTACTTAGTGTGTACATTTTAGAAAATTTCTTCTGATAGTCTTGTTAATTTGGTTGAACATGTGTGTTATTTTCAAAAATGTAAATTGAATATGTGTTTAGATATATATGTGTACATATGAAATATGACTTGACATTATAGAGTAGGCTTAGCTCAAGGCAATGTTTTTTTTTTTTCTGAAAGCACCTGCAGAAATCTGTTTTCTAGTTTGTAAGAATCTCAGAGGTTATGGGGGAAAGCAGGTTCTATGAATCCCAGACAGTGCATGAGGCAGATTTGGTTTCAGGCATCGTTCATTATAAGGTGATGATCCCTTGGAGCTTTGTCACAGTGAGAAACCTGAAAAATCATAGCAATCAGCAATGAATGAAAGGTGGGGCGGGCGCGCTGGCATGGTGGGGCCTTGTAAGCCACGTGCCTGAGCCCTCAATTCCATGTTGTGGGGAAGCATGCAGGGGATTCTGGACCTGATTGTTTCCTCTAAACCAGGGTGCGGTCTGGTTGACAGGGCAGTCGGCCTTCACCTGGTGGCCTTCTGTGGGTGCCCTCATTGGTTGCCCTCAGTTTGTGCCCTCAGTTGGTACCCTCAGCTGGTGGTCTTCTGTTGGTGGTCTTCAGTTGGTGGGCATCCGCGGAAGGAGGAGAAGGAGCTCCACCTACCTTCTCTCCTCCCGCAGTCACAGCTCTCATGCTTGTTGCATCCAAGCCCATTCGGAATAAACCAGGCAGGGTGATGGCTGCTGCAGACAAGTGAGCTCATTACAGGCAGGTGAGGCAGGGTGGGGGCTGCTAGTGGGGTGCAGCTCATGGCCTGGTGCTGCCTGTGCCAGCTGTGCCTTTGCTGGGAAGACGTGGCAGGTGCTGAGCTCTGTAGACTTGGGGGCAAGCGAAGGCCCAAACTGCCTGAGATGCGCTGAGTTGCTCCTTGTGAATCACACTGACCTGTTCCATGTGCACCGAAGCCAGTCCAAGGCACGGTGGGCACAGGGTTTCTGCGGAACCTCCTGCAGCTTTGACATCTTTGAGTGGGCCACCGACAAAGGCGCAGGCCCCAGCAGAGAGGAGAAGAGGCACTCGGAACACGCTGGACCCCAATGCCAGCCCCAAGCAGGGCCAGCTCAGAGCGGGTGCGGTGAGCAGAGCCATCCTGACGCTCTGAGGTCCACGAGGTGGAGGTGGGAGTAGCGTCAGACCCCACTGATTTGGAGCCTACCCAGTTGGATTTGGGAGACAGCAAGGGTTCTGACTGGCAGCACATTGGCGACCAGAAGATGCCCCAAGGTAGGGAGGTGACAGATATCGCTTAGCCTCAGGTGCTCCTCTGGCCGCTGCTGACCCAAGATTCCCCCCTATAGGCATCCACAGCCTAGGGCTCCACCTTCCTGCCCCTAGTTAGCTTTCCTAGGCCCAGGTCCCAAGCAGGAGCACTGGCTCTGCCTTGCCTCCCAACCCCTTCTTCTTTCTCTGCTGTGTCTGGCAGGTTTCTTTCCTCCTTCCTACCCCAATGCCGAGTTCCAGGCCCACTTCTTCTTCCCCCAGGCTGGCTGAAAACTAAGTTTTCAGAATACAAAATGGATGCTACAGATTTCATTGCTGTAGAGGAAATGTCTGACACCTCTTGTATTTAAACTTAAGTAGCCACATTGGGACTCACAATTTCATATCTTGAGTTCTGGACAGGAGCCCTCTATTTTAAAACAATGTCAGAAGTGTCAGAGATACTCTTCTTGATTCTAATCATAAAAAATAATTTTTTTGTGGAGACAGGGTCTCACCATGTTGCCCAGGCTGGTCTCAAACCCCTGGCCTCATGTGATCCCCCCAGCATGGCTTCCCACATTGCTGGGCTGACAGGCAAGAATCACCACACCTGGCCTTTGGAGGTGCTCCTGCTTTGCGTGTTTTGGCTGGTCTTCCAGCCCAACTGTCAGTAAGTTGCTCCTGCAGCATCGTTCCAAATCTTTCCGCACAAAATCAGTGGATGCTATGATGTTTTACATGTAATAGTCTCTTTGTTTATTGCAGATAAGCTAAACAATTCACAGTTAGTAACCTAGGGCCTAGAAATTTTCATATCTTTTATTTCATTTATTTTTTTGAGATGAAATTTCACTCTTGTTGCCCAGGCTGGAGTGCAATGGCACGATCTTAGGTCACTGTAACCTCTGCCTCCTGGGTTCAAGCGATTCTCCTGCCTTAGCCTCCTGAGTAGCTGGGATTAGAGTCATGCACCACCAAGCCCGACTAATTTTGTCTTTTTTAGTAGAGACAGGGTTTCACCATGTTGGTCAGGCTAGTCTCGAACTCCTGACCTGAGGTGATCTGCTCACCTTGGCTTCCCAAAGTACTGGGATTACAGGTGTGAAATACCATCCCTGGCCAAAAATTTCATTTCTTGATCAACAAACCTGTTTCTAAGGAGATGCTTGTGGTCTAAATATGCAGATTCCTAGTCATTTCTAAGAAGGGAATGACTGCAAGGCAACCTGGGAGGGATTTTAGGATTGTTCTGAGGCCGTGAAAGCCATTGAAATTCACAAATAAGTGGGTAATGGGAATACACATGTTTTGATCCCTCCATGTGCTGGGTATAACTTGGTCTTCATTAAGTTGCACCACCTTTGGTGTCAGAGAGAACTGGATTTGAATCCCAGTTCCAACACTCATTAGGACATGATCTGTGAATGTGTTTTTAACGCCTCTGAGCCTCACTTTGCTTATCTATAAAAGAGGGGATTCTTATGAGGCTTCCGTAAGGTAAATGAGTAAAAATTTGGGTGGGCAAAATGCCTGTAATTTAAAAGACAGGGTTGTTATGAGGTTTCGATAAGGTAAGTGTGCAAAAACCTGGACACAATGCCTGTAATTTTGTAAGTGTTCAGTGTGTAGAGAAGGACTATTTTTCTCTCATTTAATTTTTAGAGCAAGTTTATAAAACGGTGTTAATCATATTTTTGAGATAATCAAACCAAGGATCACAAAAATTAAATGAGTCACCATAGTCACAAAGCAGTTCACAATACATTTAATGGGTAATTGCCAGTTAAAAGTAGCAATGATGGGTGGCAGAGGCCAGAGGATCATGAGGTCAGGTGATTGAGACCATCCTGGCTAACAAGGTGAAACCCCGTCTCTACTAAAAATACAAAAAACTTAGCTGGGCGTGGTGGTGGGCGCCTGTAGTCCCAGCTACTCGGGAGGCTGAGGCAGGAGAATGATGTGAACCCAGACGGCGGAGCTTGCAGTGAGGCGAGATCCTGCCACTGCACTCCAGCCTGGGTGACAGAGCGAGAATCCATCTCAAAAAAAAAAAAAAAGTAGCAAAAGATGATCACATTTAAAATCTTGTATTATGTGGTGCTTTTCTCTTACATAAGCCTCATTGTTTGCTGAAGCCATAGATTCTAAGTTGCTGTATCAAAGTGATCACTAGAAAACTGTGATATACTTAGTATATAAATTTTAGAAAATGTCCTCTATTAGTCTTGTTAATCTGATTGAATACGTGTGTTATTTTCAAAAATGTAAATGGAATATGTATGGATTGAATGTATATGTGTGTATATACATATATATGAAATATGATTTGATATTATAGTGTAG
This sequence comes from Homo sapiens, assembly GCF_000001405.40. Classification (NCBI taxonomy): domain Eukaryota; kingdom Metazoa; phylum Chordata; class Mammalia; order Primates; family Hominidae; genus Homo; species Homo sapiens. The sequence continues at coordinate 63,317 of NW_003315934.1, read as the reverse complement.
GCTTAGCTCATGGCAATGTATTTTTTGAAAGCACCTGCAGAAATCTGTCATTTTTCTAGTTTGTAAAAATCTCAGAGGTTATGGGGGAAAGGGGATTCTATGAATCCCAGATAGTACATGAGGCAGATTTGGTTTCAGTAATTTTAGCATCATTCATTGTAAGGTGATGATCCCTAGGAACTTCATCACAGTGAGCAACATGAAAGCTCCTAGCAGCCAGCAATAAATGAAAGGTGGGGCGGTTCCGCTGGCAGGGCGGGGCCTTGTGAGCCTGGTGCTTGACCTCTCAATTCCAAGTTAGGGGGACACATGCAAATGGTTCTGGGCCTGATTGTTTCCTGTAACCAGAATGCGGTCTGGTTGGCAAGGCAACCAGTCTCCACTTGGTGGCCTTCAGCGGGTGCCCTCATTGGTTGCCTTCCGTTAGTGCCTTCAGTTGGTACCCTCAGTTGGTGCTCTTCAGTTCATGGGCACCAAAGGAAGAGGAGGAGCTCCATCTGTGCGCTCTCCTCCCGCAGTCACAGCTCTCGGGTTTGTTGCATCCAGGCCCGTTCTAAATAAACCAGGCAGGTTCCGACTGTTGCAGAGAAGTCAGCTCAGGGTAGGCGGGTGAGGCAGGGTGCAGACTACAAGTGGGGTACAGCCCCATGGCCAGGGGCCGCCCGTGCCAGCTGTGCCTTGCCAGGAGGAGTCGGTAGGTGCCGAGCTCTGCAGACTTAGGGGCAAGCAGAGGCCCAAGCTGCCCGAGAAGAGCAGAGGCGCCCCCTGGGGACCACGCTAACATATCGCATGTGCACCAAAGTCAGCCCCAGGCAGTGCCAGCGCAGGGGTTCTGTGGAGCGGTCCTGGGGCTCTGACATCTATGTCAGTGGCCAGGAAAGGCACAGGCCCCCAGCAGAGAGGAGCAGAGGCATCCAGAACATGCTGTCCCCCAATGCCAGCCCCAAGCAGGGCCAGCTCAGAGTGTGGTGAGCAGAGCCGTCCTGCAGCTCTGTGAGGTGGAGGTGGCAGTAGCACCAGACCTCACTGTTTTGGAGCCTGCCCAGTTGGATTAAGGAGTGGGCCAGGGTCCTGACTTGCAGCACATTGGCGACCAGAAGACACCCAAAGGTAGGGAGGCGAAGGATACCGCTTGGCCTCAGGAGCTCTTCTGGCTGCTGCTGACCCAAGTTTCCCCCCAGAGGTATCCACAGCCCAAGGTTCCCCCCAGAGGAATCCACAGCCTGGGGCTCCTTCCTCCTGCCTGGAGTTTGCTTTTCTATGCCCAGGCCATAAGCAGGAGGACTGGCTCTGCCTCGAGTCCTCACCCCTTCTTCTTTCCCTGCTGTGTCCAGTCGGTTTCTTACTTTCCTCCTACCTACCCCAGTGCTCAGTTCTGTTTCCTCTTCTTCCCCCAGGCTGGCTGAAAACTAAGTTTCAAAATACAAAATGTATGCTACAGATTTCATTGCTGTAGATGAAATGTCTGACAGCTTTTCTATTTAAACTCTGGTTGTTCTCTTCATGCTGAAACATCAAAGGTAAAACCAGCAAGCAGCTGACATACATTCCATCCAGCCATCCCCCAAAGCCCATGTTCTAAACCATCCGCATTATTCCAATAACTGCTCTTTTAAAAAGAGAAAATAGGCTGGGTACAGTGGCTAACGCCTGTAATCCCAGCACTTTGGGAGGCTTGAGCTCCGGAGTTCCAGACCAGCCTGGGCAACAGATCAAGAGCTCGTCTCTACTAGAAATCAAAAATTTAGCCCGATGTGGTGGCGTGCACCTGTGGTCCTAGCTACTCGGGTGCCTGAAGTGTTCAAATTGCTTGAGCCTGGGATTTCAATGCTGCAGTGAGCTGTGATCACACCACTGCACTGCAGCCTACGTGATAGATAAAGACCTTGTCTTAAAAAAAGATAAAAGATAAAAAAGGGTTACACTAAAAATGTGCATTTTCTATTTTCCCCATTAATATCCTACAAACATCCCCAGGGTGATGGAGGAGAAAATACATTGTAAAATAATAGCCAATAGGTATGACATCCTCCATAACATTTTTCAACCGAATAGATTAATGAGGATTCAGTTAAATCTATCTTAAAATCATAGCTAATAATTATGACTTAGTTACGAATCCAGTTCAAAACCTCTCAGTTGACTGTATAACTTCTGTTGAATATTTCTCATGTGTGATTCAAAACAACCTTAAATAACTGTGACAATAGCATATCACCCAGCTAGGAGAGGCAGGGTGCTTCACTTTAGCAATTTTTCACTTCTTTCACTCCTTCATTTTGTCCATCAGTCAGTCATGAAAACAATTAAATCTTGGTATTTATTGAACTTCTTATAATTTTGACAACCACTGCAGGCCTGTAAAAGTTGTATTTCTTTAATGTTCTCATTATCTTCTTAAGCCTGCACTTCTCATGCAATGCCCTTTCAGCTATTATTATTTTCATTATTTCTATAATGCCAATTGAAGGAAACCATTTAAAAATGCTGAAAGAAATAAAAGAATCCCAGAATAGAAATCACTTAACTATATGTGAACATCAATACCCAAGCTGTCCAGAAATTTTTTTTAAAAGGAAAAAGTACATCACCAGTTAATTAGCTTATCAGGTTAAGTAAATAAATAAAATAGAAACTAAATCAGAAGGCACTTTTTCAGAAAAAAAAACTTCCAAATTTAATCTTCAGTGGTAAGAGTCTATTAAGCGGAGGAAGAAATAAACTGGAACCCTGAAGAAATGTCAATTGGATGATAATTATCACTAAAACAGAGGGATTCAATCCAGCTGCCTGGAGACCTTTCATTATCTATTCCAGCATTGGCAGAGGAAGGGCTATGCCTCTATTAGACTTCAGCCAAATTTGGCGTTCTGGTTTCTACCAGTAGCACGCTGGTGATTTTTCTTTTCAGAACTCACATGTGTATCTCATTTGATCTCATCACAACCTGAGACACAGGTCATAATAGGGACTATGGGGCTCATTTTGTACCCGGTGAACCAGCCAACTTTCATACAGTTGAGTAAAGGTAAACTGTCCAGGTGAGGTGGCTCACACCTGTAATTCCAGCACTTTGGGAGGCCGAGATGGGCAGATCACTTGAGCCCAGGAGTTGGGAGACCAGCCTGGGCAACGTGGCAAAAAAACCATCTCTACAAAAAGTACAAAAATTATCTGGGCATGGTGAGCACATGCTTGTCATCCCAACTACTTAGGAGGCTGAGGCATGAGGATCACTATGCCTCAAGGCATAGGTTGCAGTGAGTTGAGCTTGTGCCACTGCCTCCAGCCTGGGTGACACAGTGAGATCCTGTCTCCAGAAAAGAAAAAAAAAAAAAAGGCCAGGCGCGGTGGCTCATGTCGGGAATCCCAGCACTTTGGAGGCCAAGGCGGACAGATCACGAGGTCAGGGGATTGAGACCATCCTGGCTAACACAGAAAACCCCGTGTCTACTAAAAATACAAAAAATTAGCCAGGCATGGTGGCATGCGCCTGTAGTCCCAGCTACTTGGGAAGCTGAGGCAGGAGAATCGCTTGAACCGGGAGGCGGAGGTTTCTGTGAGCCGAGATCGTGTCACTGCACTACTGCCTGGGCAACAGAGTGAGACTCCGTCTCAAAAAAATAAATTAATTAAATAAAAATAAAAATAAAAAATGGTTAACCGACTTTACTTTTTGCATTTTGAAGTTTATATATCTGAAGAATTGTTTTTATTGATCAGACATCTCTCACGGAAAACAAAATATGTAATAGACATTTCTAAGAACATTAAAGTAAATCATACTAAAAAATATAAAAATATAGAAAAAATATCAGAGAAGATAGTTAATTAAATGTATCTGTGTAAATGGCAACTCTGAACCATAATGCATTTGTTGGTAAAAGACCAACATGGCACTGCTTTTCTGAAGAAATAATTTAGAAAAGTTATATTTTTATCAGCTTTTTTGAGTTTTAAGACTGAGACTGTACTAAATTGATTACAGATGTGGTGGAAATGGTTGTAAAAAATATAGAAGGTGAAGAATCAGGACGAGAGAAGTATGTACTCATTTTCTTTTTTTTTTTTTTTTTTTTTTTGAGATGAAGTCTTGCTCTGTCGCCCAGGCTGGAGTCCAGTGGCGTGATCTCGTCTCACTGCAAGCTCTGCCTCCCGGGTTCATGCCATTCTCCTGCCTCAGCCTCCTGAGTAGCTGGGACTACAGGCGCCTGCCACCACGCCTGGCTAATTTTTTGTATTTTTTAGTAGAGACGGGGTTTCACCGTGTTAGCCAGGATGGTGTCAATCTCCTGACCTCGTGATCCGCCCGCCTCGGCCTCCCAAAGTGCTGGGATTACAGGCGTGAGAGACCGCGCCCGGCCAGACTCATCATACTTTCACACACTTTCAATTTCTGATAATATTTCTCATAAGAATGTGTGGGGTTTCTCCAGGGCATCACATATTAATTCTGAAGCTATTCGTGCACTGAGGAAAAACAATCTCATGGTAATTATAGCAGGTTTTAATTAAGGTATATTTCATAAAAATCTTAGGCCCATTTCTGTAGAATACATGCAAACAATATGGTCAGCCAACAGTAAGCTTAAAATGGTTAGACATAATTCTATGCATTTTGGAGATTATATATCCCTGAAGAATCTTATTTACCAATCAGTCATTTTTTACAGACACTGAAATACATAACAGATATTTCTAAGAACATTAAAGCAAATCATACAAAATATATAAAAATATATAGAAAACATCAGAGAAGATAGTTAATTAAATGTATCTGGGTAAATGTCAACTCTGAACCATAATGTATTTGTTGGTAAAAGATGAATATGGCACTGCTTCTCTGAAGAAATAATTTATACAAGTTGTATCTATCAGTTTTTACATTCTAATAATACATCTTTCTTTTATGAGTTTTAAGACTGAGACTGTACTAAATTGATTATAGTCGTAAAAATGTAGAAAGTGAAGAATCAAGAAGAGGGACATTTGAACTCATTTTCTTAAATAAGGGAATTTAAGGAAAAAGATAAAAAATATCTAGTTTATTCACAGAATTTTGATGAGACAAATTGGGAAGACTTACTTTCTCTGGGTTCACAGTATGCCCCCACAAAAATAAGACTGGATTACTGCTAATTAAGAAATTAATGGGCAAGTCAGAAAGAATAAAACTGGGGTAAGCCACAGTGATGCATTTTTCTTTGGAGAATCTCAAGGAAATTAGTTATTTGGTTGAGCTGACTCAGTGTGATAATGTGTGTTTTTCTGTATGTGTGTGTGTGTTTGAGTGTGAGTGCACATGGGCAAGTGCCAGTGTGTGTTTGTGCTACCTTTAATGTTCATAAGTCAACACGCTTTTATTGTTATTAACCCTATTCTGTTTTAGTTACAGTCACTTGAAATATTATTTCATTGTAGATTTGTTGCTATTGTGTATCAACTGAAACCCATCTTTCTGTATTGTTATGTATATTTCTGTCAGTGTGATATATATACAAAATCCAAAAACGCTTGGAAACTTCATGTAATCATATTCAACCCAACCTGTGGATACAGCTCTACACCACAATGCATGAATGTCCACTTGTGATTGTCCTGTTTACCTACAATTAATTATCTCTTTTGCTTTCTGGGTCTCCTGAGAAACATCCTCTCGAAAAGGTAGTAACACTTATAGATCCATCTAGAACTATCAAATCTGTATTATAGAGAATATAGGTTATTTATTAATCATTGTGTTTATAAACCCATTCAGCCTATAATGGAAATGATTCTGTCTCACGTAGACAAAAGGGTGGAAGAATGGAACAACGTTCAGAAGAGGAAACTTTAGCCATGTAAGGGAATTTCTCAAAAGAATGCAAAGATTTAAAATGTCTATAGGCAGTAAGCTAGTAACTTCAACCGTTCCATATGGGACTACCAAGTATGTATTTTACAGAATATACGTTATTTATTAAGGATTGGGTTTCCAAACCCCTTCAGCCTCTATTGGAAATAAAAGATTTTGTTTCACCTAGACAAAACTGTAAACAAATGTACCAACATTCAGAAGAGGGAACTTTTAGCCACCTAGGGAATTTCCCAAAGGAATGCAGAGATTAAAAATGTCTATAGGCTCTGAGCTAGAAAATTCTACAGCTCCATCTGGGACTACTAAGTCTGTATTTTACAGAATATACATTATTTATTAAGAATTGGGCTTCCAAACCAGTTCAGCCTCTATTTGAAATGAAAGAGTCTGACTCACTTAGATGAAAGGGTGGACGAATGTACGAACATTCAGAAGAGGGAACTTTTAGCCACTTACGAGAATATGCCCGGGAAATGTGGAGATTTAAAATGTCTACAGGCCCTGGGCTAGTAACTTCTGCAGCTCCATCTGGGACTACCAAGTAAGTATTTTAAAGAATCTACCTTATTTATTAAGCATTGCATTTCAAAACCCATTCAGTCTCTGTTGAAAATGAAAGATTTTGTCTCACCTCAAAGAAAGGGTGAGCAAATGTAGCAAAATTCAAAAGAAAGAACTTTTAGCCACCTAAAGAAATTTGCCAGGGAAAAGCAGAGATTTAAAATGTCTACAGGCCCTGAGCAAGTAACTTCTACAGCTCGATCTGGGGCTACTAAGTTTGTATAGTACAGAATATACGTTATTTATTAAGCACTGAATTTTGAAACCAGTTCAGACTCAATTGGAAATGAAAGATTCTGTCTCACCTACATGAAAGGGTGCACGAATGTACCAACATTCAGAAGAGGGAAACTGTAACCATCTAAGAAAATTTGCCAGGGGAATGCATTTAAAATTTAAAATTTAAAAATTTTAGAAATTTAAAATATCTACAGGCCCTCAGCTAGTAACTTCTACAGCTCCATCTGGGACTACTAAGTCTATGTTTGACAGAATATACATTATTTATTAAAAATTCTGTTTCCAAACCTGTTCAGCCTCTATTGGAAATTACAGATTCTGTCTCGCCTTGACAAAACGGTGGACACATGTACCAACACTCAGTAGAGGGAACTTTTAGCCACCTAAGTGATTCCACCAGAGGAATGTGAAGATTTAAAATGTCTGTGGGCCTTGAGCTAGAGAATTCTACAGCTCCATCTGGGACTACTAAGTCTGTGTGGTACAGAATATACGTTATTTATTAAGCGTGGGTTTTCAAAACCCTTTCGGCCTCTGTTGAAAGGTACAGATTCAGTGTCACCTAGACAAAAAGATTGACGAATATAACAACATTCAGATGAGAAGTTTTAGCCACATTAAAGAAACTGCCAGGGAAATGCAGAGATTTAAAATGTCTATGGGCTTTGAGCTAGTAACTTCTACGGCTCCATCTGGGACTGCTAAGTCTGTGTGGTCCAGAATATATGTTATTTATTAAGCACTGGGTTTCCAATGCCAATCAGCCACTAAAGGAAATTCTAAATTCAGTGTCACCTAGACAAAAAGATTGATGAATGTAACAACAGTCAGAGGAGAAAACTTTTAGCCATGTAAAGGAATCTGCCAGGGGAATACAGAGATTTAAAATATCTATGACCTAGTAACCTCTACAGCTCTATCTGGGACTACTAAGTCTGTATGGTACAAAATTTACATTTTTTGATAAGAATTGGGTTTCCAAACCATTACAGCCTCTATTGGAAATGAAAGATTCTGGCTTGCCTAGATGAGAGGGTGCACACATGTATCAACATTCAGTGGAGAGAACTTTTAGCCACGTAAGTGAATCTGCCAGAGAAATGCAAAGATTTAAAATGTCTATCGTCTCTGAGCTAGTAACTTCTACAGCTCCATCTGGGACTACTAAGACTGTGTGATTCAGAATATATATTATTTATTAAGCACTGATTTCCAAAGCCATGGAGCCTTGAAAGTATATTGCAGATTCAGTGTCACCTAGACAAAAAGATTGACGAATGTAACAACATTCAGAGGAGAAAACTTTCAGCCACATAAACGAATCTGCCAGGGGAATGTGGAGTTTGACAGTGATTATGGGCTTTGACCTAGTAACCTCTACAGCTCTATCTGAAATTACTAAGTCTGTATTGTACAAAATACACGTTATTTATTAAGCATAGGGTTTTCAAACCCGTTCAGCCTCTATTGGAAATGACAGGTTGTCTCCCCTAGCCGAAAGGGTGGACACATGTACCAACATTCAGAAGATGGAACTTCCAGCCCCCTGAGTGAATCTTCCAGGGGAATGAAGAGATTTATAATGTCTATGGATTCTGAGCTATGAAATTTCTACAGCTCCATCTGGGACTACTAAGTCTGTATTGTACAGAATTTACGTTTTTCATGAGAATTGCGTTTCCAAACTGGTTCGGCCTCTATTGGAATGGAAAGATTCTTGCTCGCCTAGACAAAATGGTGCAGGAATATATCAACATTCAGTAGAGGGAAACTTTAGCCACCTATGTGAATCCGCCAGAGGAATGTGAAGATTTGAAATGCCTATGGGTCCTGAGCTAGTGACTTCTACAACTCAATCTGTGACTACTAAGTCTATGAGGTCCAGAATATACGTTATTTATTAAGCACTTGGTTTCCAAAGCCACTGACCCTTGAATATGTATTACAGTTTCAGTGTCACCACACCAAAAGATTGACAAATGTTACAACATTCAGACGAGAAAATGTTTAGCCAGGTAAAGGAATCTGCCAGGAAAATGCAGAGACATAAAATGTCTATGGGCTTGGAGCTAGAAACTTCTACAGCTCCTTCTGGGACTACTAAGTCTGTGTGGTACAGCATGTATGTTATTTATTAAGCACTGGGTTTCCAATGCCAATCAGCTGCTAAAGGAAATTCCAAATTCGGTGTCACCTAGACAAAAAGATTGTCGAATATAACAACATTCAGAGTAGAAAACTTTTAGCCAAGTGAAGGAATCTTCCAGGGTAATGCAGAGATTTCAAACAGCTATGGGCTTTGAGCTAGTAACCCCTACAGCTCTATCTGGGACTACTAAGTCTGTATTGTACAAAATATACATTATTTATTAAGCATTGGGTTTCCATACGCAGTCAGCCTCTATTGGAAATGACAGATTCTGTCTCACCTAGAAAAAAGGGAGGACACTGTCATGTGCGTCCGTGTGAAGACACCACCAAACAGGCTTTGTGTGAGCAATAAAGCTTTTTAATCACCTGGGTGCAGCCAGGCTGAGTCCAAAAAGAGACTCAGCAAAGGGAGATAGGGGCAGTCTGTGTGATACAGCATATATGTTATTTATTAAGCACTGAGTTTCCAATGCCAATCAGCCACTAAAGGAAGTTATATAGGGACAGTTTTACAGGATTTGGGTAGGTAATGGAAAATTACAGTCAAAAGGGGTTGTTCTCCCATGGGCAGGGACAGGGCTCACAAGGTGCTCAGTGGGGGAGCTTCTGAGCCAGGAGAAGGAATTTCATAAGGTAATGTCATCAGTTAAGGAAGGAACCGGACATTTTCACTTCTTTTGTGGTTCTTCAGTTGCCTCTGGCCATCTCCAGGCTTGGGCTCAGAGGTCTGACAGACACATGTACCAAAATTCAGAAGAGGGAACTTCCAGTCACCTAAGTGAATCTTCCATGGAAATGCAGAGATTTAAAATGTCTATGGACACCAAGCTACGAAACTTCTACAGCTCCATCTGTGACTACTAAGTCTGTATTGTACAGAATTTAGTTTTTTAATGAGAATTGGGTGTCCAAACCCATTCAACCTCTGTTGGAAAGGAAAGATTCTTGCTCGCCTAGATGAAATGGTGCATGAATATATCAACATTCAGTACAGGGAACATTTAGCCACCTAAGCGAATCTGCCAGAGGAATGCGAAGATTTAAAATGTCTATGGGTCCTAAGCTGGTAACTTCTATAGCTCCATCTGGGACTACTAGGTCTGTGCAGTCCAGAAATGAATAATTCTGGCTCACCTAGATGAAAGGTTGCACGAATGTGTCAACATTCCGTAGAGGGAACCTAGAGCCACCTAAGTCAATCTGCCAGAGGAATGTGAAGATTTAAAATGTCTTTAGGCCCTGAGCTACTAACTTCTACAGCTCCATCTGGGACTACCAAGTCTGAGAGGTCCAGAATATATGTTATTTATTACGCACTGGGTTTCCAAACCAATTCAACCTCCATTGAAATTTACAAATTCAGTGTCAACTACACCTAAAGGTTGATGAATGTAATGACATTCAGATGAGATAACTTTTAACCAGGTAAAGTAATCTGCCAGGGGAATGCGGAAATTTAAAATGTCTATGGGCTGTGACCTAGTAACTTCTACAGCTCTATTTGGGACTACTATGTCTGTATTGTACAGAATTTAGTTATCTATTAAGCATTGGGTTTCCAAACCCGTTCAGCCTCTATTGGAAATGAAAAATTCTGTCTCCCCTAGATGAAAAAGTGGACACATGAACCAACATTGAGAAGAGGGAACTTCCAGCACCTAAGTGAATCTTAGAGGGAAATATGGAGATTTAAAATGTCTATGGGCCCTGAGCTACAAAACTTCTACAGCTCCATCAGGGACTACTAAGTCTGTATTGTATAGAATTTACATGTTTTAAATGCAAAAATTTAAATTTACTGCCCCAAGCGAGTAAATTCTATAGTTCCATCTGGGACTGCTAAGTATGTATGGTCCAGAATATACGTTATTTATCAAGCACTGGGTTTTGAATGCCAATCAGCTACGAAAGACAATTCCAAATTCAGTGTCACCTAGACATAAAGATTGACGAACATAACAACATTCTGAGGAGAAAACATTTAGCCAAATAGAAGAATCCGCCAGGGGAATGCAGAGATTTAAAATGTCTATGAACTAGAAACCTCTAGGCTCTACCTGGGACTACTATGTCTGTATTGTACATAATTTACATTTTTTGATAAGTATTGGGTTTACAAACCAGTTCAGCCTCTATTGGAAAATAAAAGATTGTGGCTCGCCTAGACAAAAGGATGCACGCATGTATCAACATTCATTAGAGGGAACTTTTAGCCACCTAAGTGAATCCGCCAGAGGAATGCGAAGATTTAAAATGTCTATGGTGCCTGAGCTAGTAACTTCTACAGCTCCATCTGGGAGTACTAAGTCTGTGTGGTCCAGAATATACGTTATTTAGTAAACACTGAATTTCCAAAGTCACAGAGCCTGGAAAGAATATTGCAGATTCAGTGTCACCTAGACAAAAAGATTGATGAATGTAACAACATTCAGAGGAGAAAACTTTTAGCCACATAAAGGAATCTGCCAGGGGAATGAGGAGTTTTAAAATGTCTATGGGCTTTGATCTAGTAACCTCTACATGTTATTTATTAAGCATAGGGTTTTCAAACCCGTTCAGCCTCTATTGGAAATGCCAGGTTCTGTCTCTCCTGGATGGAAGAGTGGATACATGTACCAACATTAAGAGCTGGAACTTCCAGCCACCTAAGAAAATTTTCCAGGGAAATTAGGAGATTTATGCCTATGGACCCTGAGCTGTGAAATTTCTACAGCTCCATCTGAGACTACTAAGTCTGTATTGTACAGAATTTAGTTTTTTAATGAGAAGTAGGTTTACAAACCCATTCAGCCTCTATTGGAAAGGAAAGATTCTTGCTTGCCTAGACGAAATGGTGCACGAATATATCAACATTCACTAGAGGGAACATTTAGCCACCTAAGTAAATCCACCAGAGGAACGCGAAGATTTAAAATATGTATGGGTCCTGAGCTAGTGACTTCTACAGCTCAATCTGGGACTACTAGGTCTGTGTGGTCCAGAATATACGTTACTTATTAAGCACTTGGTCTCCAAAGCCTTTGACCATCGAAAGAGTATTGCAGATTCAGTGTCACCTAGACCAAAAGATTGACGAATGTTACGACATTCAGATAAGAAAACTTTTAGCCAGATAAAGGAATCTGCCAAGAAAATGCAGAGATTTAAAATGTCTATGGGCTTTAAGTCAGAAACCTCTACAGAGCTAACTGGGACTACTAAGTCTGTATCGTGCAAAACATATGTTATTATTAAGCAATGGATTTCCATACCCATTCAGCCTCTATTGGAGATGACAGATTCAGTCTCACCTAGATGAAAGGGTGGACACGTGTAGCAACATTCAGAAGAGGAAATTTCCAGTCACCTAAGTGAATCTTCCAGGGAAATGTGGAAATTTAAAATGTCTATGGACCCTGAGCTATGAAACTTCTACAGCTCCATCTGGGACTACTAAGTCTGTATTGTACAGATTTTGCATTTTTAAATAAGAATTGGCTTTCCAAACCCATTCAGCCTCTATTGGAAATGAAAGATTCTGGCTCACCTAGACAAAAGGGTGGACACATGTACCAACATTCAGAAGATGGAACTTCCAGTCACCTATGTGAATCTTCCAGGGGAATGTGGAGATTTGAAATGTCTATGGATATTGAGCTACAAAACTTCTAAAGCTGCATCTGGGACTACTAAGTCTCTATTGTACAGATTTTACATTTTTAAATAAGAATTGGGTTTCCAAGCCCATTCAGCCTCCATTGGAAAAGAATGATTCTGGCTCACCTAGAAGAAAGGTTGCATGAATGTATGAACATTCAGTAGAGGGAACCTAGAGCCATCTAAGTGAATCCACCAGAGGAATGTGAGGATTTAAAATGTCTTTAGGCCCTGAGCTAGTAACTTCTACAGCTCCATCTGGGACTACTAAGTCTGTGTGGTCCAGAATATATGTCATTTATTAGGCACTGGGTTTCCAAACCAATTCAGCCTCATTGAAATTTACAAATACAGTGTCACTTACACATATAGGTTGACGAATGTAACAACATTCAGATGAGAAAACTTTTAGCCAGGTAAAGGAATCTGCCAGGGGAATGCGGAGATTTAAAATGTCTATGGGCTTTGACCAAGTAACTTCTACAGCTCTATTTGGGACTACTAAGTCTGTATTGTACAGAATTTAGCTTATTTATTAAGCATTGGGTTTCCAAACCTGTTCAGCTTCTATTGGAAATGAAAAATTCTGTCTCCCCTAGATGAAAGGGTGGACACATGAACCAACATTCAAGGGAGGGAACTTCCAGCACCTAAGTGAATCTTAGAGGGAAATACAGAGATTTAAAATGTCTATGGGCCCTGAGCTACAAAACTTCTACACCTCCATCTAGGACTACTAAATCTTTATTGCACAGAATTTTCATGTTTTAATAAAACTTGGATTTCCAAACCCATTTCAGCCTCTATTGGAAATGAAAGATTCTGACTTGCCTAGACAAAAGGGTGCATTAATGTATCAACATTCAGTAGAGGGAACTTTTAGCGACCTAGGTGAATCAGCCAGAGGAATGCAAAGATTTGAAATGTCTATGGGCCCTGAGCTTGTAAATTCTACAGGTCCATCTGGGACTGCTAAGTCTCTGTGGTCCAGAATATAAGATATTTATGAAGCACTGGGTTTCCACTGCCAATCAGCTGCTAAAGACAATTCCAAGTTCAGTGTCACCTAGACAAAAAGATTGACGAATATAGCAACACTCAGAGGAGAAAACTTTTAGTCATGTAAAGGAATCTGCCAGAGGAATGCGGAGTTTTACAATGTCTATGGGCTTTGACCTAGTAACCTCTACAGCTCTATCTGAAGCTAAGTCTGTATTGTACAAAATAACGTTATTTATTAAGCATAGGGTTTTCAAACTGTTCAGCCTCTATTGGAAATGATAGGTTCTGTCTCACGTAGACAAAAGGGTGGACACATGTACCAACATTCAGAAGATGGAACTTCCAGCCTCCTAAGTGAATCTCCCAGGGGAATGAGAAGATTTATAATGTCTATGGACCCTGAGCTATGAAACTTCTGCAGCTCCATCTGGGACTACTAAGTCTGTATTGTACAGAATTTAAGTTATTTGTTAAGCACTGGGTTTCCAAACCGGTTCGGCCTCTATTGGAAATTAAACATCCTGTCTCGTCTAGCCAAATAAATGGACACATGTGCCAACATTCAGAAGAGGGAGCATCCAGCCAGCTAAGTGAATCTTCCAGGGGAATGTGGAGATTTAAAATGTCTATGGACCTTGAGCTACGATACTTCTACAGCTCCATCTGGGACTATTAAGTCTGTTTTGTACAGAATTTATGTTTCTTAATAAGAATTGGGTTTCCAAGCCCTTTCAGCCTCTACTGGAAATGAAGGATTCTTGCTCCCTAGATGAAATGGTGCATAAATGTATCAACATTCAGTAGAGGGAACCTAGAGTCACCTAAATGAATCTGGCAGAGGAATGCGAAGATTTGAAATGTCTATGGGCCATGAGCTAGTGACGTCTACAGCTACTGGGCCTACTAAATCTGTGTCATCCAGAATATACGTTATTTATTAAGCACTTGGTTTGCAAAGCCATTGACCATCAAAAGAGTATTGCAGATTCAGTGTCACCTAGACCAAAATATTGATGAATGTTACAACATTCAGACGAGAAAACTTTTAGGCAGGTAAAAGAATCTGCCAGGAAAATGCGGAGATTTAAAATGTTTATGGGCTTTGAGCTAGAAACTTCTATAACTCCTCTGGGACTATTAAGTCTGTGAGGTACAGAATATACGTTCTTTATTAAGCGCTGGGTTTCCAAAGCCAAACAGCCGCTAAAGGAAATTCCAAATTCAGTGTCACCTAGACAAAACGATTGATGAATATAACAACATTCAGAGGAGAAAACTTTTAGCCACATAAAGGAATCTGCCAGGAGAATGTGAAGATTCAAAATGTCTATGGGTTTTGAGTTAGTAAACTCTACAGCTTCATCTGGGACTACTAAGCCTGTATTGTACAAAATAGATGTTATTTATTAAGCATTGGGTTTCCAAACCCGTTCAGCCTCTATTGGAAATCACAGATTCTTTCTCACCAACATGAAAGGGTGGACACATGTACCAACATTCAGAAGAGGGAACTTCCAGTCACCTACATGAATCTTCCAGGGGAATGTGGAGATTTGAAATGTCTATGGATATTGAGCTATAAAACTTCTAATGCTCCATCTGGGACTACTAAGTGTCTTGTACAGATTTCATATTTTTTCATAAGAATTGGGTTTCCAAATCCATTCAGCCTCTATTGGACATGAATGATTCTGGCTCACCTAGATGAAAGTTTGCACGAATGTATCAACATTCAGTAGAGGGAACTTTAAGCCACCTAAGTGAATCCGCCAGAGGAATGCGAAGATTTAAAATGTCTTCAGGCCCTGAGCTAGTAACTTCTACAGCTCCATCTGGGACGACTAAGTCTGCGTGGTCCGGAATATATGTCATTTATTAGGCACTGGGTTTCCAAACCAATTCAGCCTCCATTGAAATTTACAAATTCAGTGTCAACTACATCTAAAGGTTGACGAATGTAACAACATTCAGATGAGATAACTTTTAGTCATGTAAAGTAATCTGCCAGGGGAATGCAGAAGTTTAAAATGTCTATGGGCTTTGACCAAGTAACTTCTACAGCTCTATTTGGGACTACTAAGTCTGTGTTGCACAGAATTTAGGTTATTTTTTAAGCATTGGGTTTCCAAACCTGTTCAGCCTCTATTGGAAATGAAAAATTCTGTCTCCCCTAGATGAAAGGGTGGGCATATGAACCAACATTCAGAAGAGGGAACTTCCAGCACCTAAGTGAATCTTAGAGGGAAATGTGGAGATTTAAAATGTCTATGGGCCCTGAGCTACAAAACTTCTACAGCTCTATCTGGGACTACTAAGTCTGTATGGTACAGAATTTATGAGTTTTAATAAGAATTGTATTTCCAAACCTAATCAGCCTCTATTGGAAATGAAAGATTCTGACTTGCCTAGACAAAAGGGTGCACGAATGTATCAACATTCAGTAGAGGGAACTTTTATCCACTTAGGTGAATCAGTCAGAGGAATGCGAAGATTTAAAATGTCTGTGGGCCCTGAGCTTGTAAATTCTACAGCTCCATATGGGACTGCTAACTCTGTGTGGTCCAGAATATATGTTATTTATCAAGCACTGTGTTTCCAGTGCTAAAGAAAATTCCAAATTCAGTGTCACCTAGACATAAAGATTGATGAATGTAACAACATTCAGAGGAGAAAACATTTAGCCATATGAAAGAATCTGCCAGGGGAATGCGGAGATTTAAAATGTCTATGAATTAGCAACCTCTACAGCTCTACCTGGGACTACTATGTCTGTATTGTACAGAATTTACGTTTTTTGATAAGAATTGGGTTTACAAACCAGTTCAGCCTCTATTGGAAAATAAAAGATTGTGGCTCACCTAGACGAAAGGGTGAACGCATGTATCAACATTTGGTAGAGACAACTTTTAGCGACCTAAGTGAATCCACCAGAGGAATACGAAGATTTAAAATGTCTATCGTCTCTGAGTTAGTAACTTCTACATCTCCATCTGGGAGTACTAAGTCTGTGTGGTCCAGAATATACGTTATTTAGTAAACACTGGATTTCCAAAGCCATGGAGCCTGGAAAGAATATTGCAGATTCAGTGTCAAAAAGATTGATGAATGTAACAACATTCAGAGGAGAAAACTTTTAGCCATGTAAAGGAATCTGCCAGGGGAATGAGGAGTTTTAAAATGTCTATGGGCCTTGACCTAATAACCTCTACACATTATTTATTAAGCATAGGGTTTTCAAACCCGTTCAGCCTCTATTGGAAATGCCAGGTTCTGTCTCACCTAGATGAAAGGGTGGATACATGTAATAACATTAAGAAGCTGGAACTTCCAGCCTCCTAGGTGAATTTTTCAGGGAAATGAGGAGATTTATGCCCATGGACCCTGAGTTCTGAAATTTCTACAGCTCCATCTGGGACTATTAAGTATGTATTGTACAGAATTTAGTTTTATAATGAGAATTGGGTTTCTACACCGGTTCAGCCTCTATTGGAAAGGAAACATTCTTGCTTGTCTAGACAAAATGGTGCATGAATATATCAACATTCACTAGAGGGAACATTTAGCCAGCTAAGTGAATCTGCCAGAGGAATGTAAAGATTTAAAATGTCTACGGTTCCTGAGCTAGTGACTTCTACAGCTCAATCTGGGACTACTAAGTCTGTGTGGTCCAGAATATATGTTACTTATTAAGCACTTGGTTTCCAAAGCCATTGACCATTGAAAGAATATTGCAGATTCAGTGTCACCTAGACCAAAAGATTGACAAATGTTACAACACTCAGACAAGAAAACTTTTAGCCAGGTAAAGGAATCTGCCAGGAAAATGCAGAGACTTAAAATGTCTATGGGCTTTATGCTAGAAACCTCTACAGATCTAACTGGGACTACTAAGTCTGTATCGTACAAAACATACGTTATTATTAAGCAATGGATTTCCATACCCATTCAGCCTCTATTGGAAATGACAGATTCGGTCTCACCTAGATGAAAGGGTGGACATATGTAGCAACATTCAGAAGAGGAAATTTCCAGTCACCTAAGTGAATCTTCCAGGGAAGTGTGGAAATTTAAGATGGCTATGGACCCCGAGCTATGAAACTTCTGCAGCTCCATCTGGGACTACTAAGTCTGTATTGTACAGATTTTACATTTTTAAGTAAGAATTGGGTTTCCAAACCCATTCAGCCTCTATTGGAAATGATAGATTTTGTCTCACCTAGACGAAAGGGTGGATACATGTACCAACATTCAGAAGATGGAACTTCAAGCCACCTAAGTGAATTTTCCAGGGGAATGTGGAGATGTAAAATGTCTGTGGACCCTGAGCTACAAAACTTCTGAAGCTCCATCTGGGACTACTAAGTCTGTATTGTACAGATTTTACTTTTTTTTTTAATAAGAATTGGGTTTCCAAACCCATTCAGCCTCTATTGGAAATGAATGATTCTGGCTCACCTACCTAGATGAAAGGTTGCACGAATGTATCAACATTCAGTAGAGGGAACCTAGAGCCACCTAAGTGAATCCACCAGAGGAATGTGAGGATTTAAAATGTCTATGGGCCCTGTGCTAGTAACTTCTACAGCTCCATCTTCTGTGTGGTACAGAATATACATTATTTATCAAGCACTGGGTTTCCAATGCCAATCAGCTACTAAAGAAAAGGCAAAATTCAGTGTCACCTAGACAAAAAGATTGACGAATGTAACAGTCAGAGGAGAAAACTTTTAGCCATGTAAAGGAATCTGCCAGGGGAATGTGGAGATTTAAAATGTCTATGACCTAATAAACTCTACAGCTCTATCTGGGACTTCTAAGTCTGTATTGCACAGAATTTACGTTTTCTGATAAGAATTGGGTTTCCAAACCAGTTCAGCCTCTAATGGAAATGAAAGATTCTGGCTCGCCTAGATGCAAGGGTGCATGCATGTATCAACATTCAGTGGAGAGAACTTCTAGCCACATAAGTGAATCCTCCAGAGGAATGCAAAGATTTTAAATGTCTCTGGTCCCTGAGCTAGTAACTGCTACAGCTCCATCTCAGACTACTAAGTCTGTGTGGTTCAGAATATACGTTATTTATTAACCACTGGATTTCCAACGCCATTCACCCTCATAAGAATATTGCAGATTCAGTGTCACCTAGACAAAAAGATTGAAGAATGTAACAACATTCAGAGGAGAAAACTTTTAGCCATGTAAAGGAATCTGCCAGGGGAATGTGGAGTTTGACAATGATTATGGGCTTTGACCTAATAACCTCTACAGCTCTATCTGAAAGTACTAAGTCTGTATTGTACAAAATACACATTATTTTTTAAGCATAGGGTTTTCAAATCCGTTTAGCCTCTATTGGAAATGACAGGTTGTGTCTGACCTAGATGAAAGATGCACACATGTATCAACATTCAGTAGAGGGAACTTTTAGCCACCTAAGTGAATCCACCAGAGGACTGCAAAGATTTAAAATGTCTATTGTCCCTGAGCTAGTAATTTCTACAGCTCCCTCTGGTACTACTAAGACTGTGTGGTTCAGAATATATGTTGTTTCTTAAGCACGGGGTTTCCAAACCCATTCAGCCTCTATTGAAAGTTACAGATTCAGTGTCACCTAGACAAAAAGAATGATGAATGTGACAACATTCAGAAGAGAAAACTTTTAGCCATGTAAAGCAATCTGCCAGGGGAATGCAGATATTTAAAATTTCTTTGAGCTTGTGATATCCTACCTTGTTTTAACCTGAATTGACTCTCCTTAGCTGAGAGAGCTGGAGAGACTCCATTTTGGCTCCTTCACTTGCAGCCCCTTACCCACCCCCCTTCCTCAAGGACTTATGCAAGCTGACTCCCAGCACATCCAAGAATGCAATTACTGATAAGATACTGTGGCAAGCTATATTCGCAGCTCCCAGGAATTCACCCAGTTGATAGTACCCAAAGCCCCTGTATTTGTGTCCAGTTGATAGCACCCAAAGCCCCCACATCTATCACCTTGTAATAGATTTAAAGCCCCTGCACCTGGAACTGTTTGTTTTCCTGTAACCATTTATCTTTTTAACTTTTTTTGCCTGTTTTGCTTTTGTAAGATTGCTTCAGCTAGGCTCCCCCTCCCCTTTCTAAACCAAAATATAAAAGAAAATCTAGCCCCTTCTTCGGGGCTGAGAAAATTTTGAGCACTAGCCATCTCTTGGTTGCCAGCAAATAAAGGACTCCTGAATTAGTCTCAAAGTGTGGTGTTTCTCTGTAACTCGCTTGGTTACAACAAGCTAATAACCTCTACAGCTCCATCTAGGACTACTAAGTTTGTGTGGTATAGAATATATGTTATTTATTAAGCACTGGGTTTCCAAAGCCATTGAACCTCGAAAGAGTATTGCAGATTCAGTGTCACCTACACAAAAAGATTGACGAATGTTATGACATTCAGAAGAGAAAACTTTTAGCCAGGTAAAGAAATCTGTCAGGAAAATGCGGAGATTTAAAATGTCTCTGGGCTTTGAGCTAGTAACCTCTACACCTCCATCTGGGACTATTATGTCTGTATTTTACAGAATATATGTTACTTATTTAGCATTGGGTTTCCAACCCCGTTCAGCCTCTATTTGAAATGAAAGATTCTGTCTCACCTAGACAAAAGGGTGGACGAACGTACCAACATTCAGAAGAGGGAACTTTTAGCTGCCTAAGGGAATTTTCCAGGGGAATGCAAAGATTTAACTTGTCTATGGGCCTTGAGCTAATAAATTCTACAGCTCCATCCAGGATTACTAAGTCTGTATTTTACAGAATGTACGTTATTTATGAAGCATTGGGTTTACAAACCTGTTCAGCCTCTACTGGAAATGAAAGATTCTGTCTCACCTAGATGAATTGGTGGACGAATGTACCAACATCCAGGAGAGAAAACATTGACCATCTCAGGGAATTTGCCAGGGGACTGCGGAGATTTAAAATGTCTATAAATGCTGAGCTAATAACTTCCACGCTTCCATCTGGGACTACTAAGTCTATATTGTACAGAATACATTTTTTTTTAATTAAGCATTGGGCTTCCAAACCCATTCAGCCTCTATTGGAACTGAAAGATTCTGTCTCACCTAGATGAAAAGTTGGACAAATGTAGTAACATTCAGAAGAGGGAACTTGTAGCCATTTAAAGGAATTTGTCAGGGGAATGCGGAGATTTAAAATGTCTTTAGGCCCTGAGCTAGTAACTTCTACAGCTCCATCTGGGACTACTAAGTCTGTATTCTAAAGAATATACGTTATTTATTTAGCATTGGGTTTCCAACCCCGTTCAGCCTCTATTGTATATGAAAGATTCTGTCTCACCTAGATGAAAGGGTTGATGAATGTACCAACATTCAGAAGAGGAAACTTTTAGCCACCTCAAGAAATTTGACAGGGAATGCGGTGATTTAAAGTGTCTATTAGCTTTGAGCTACTAACTTCTATAGTTTTATCTAGGACTACTAAGTCTGTATTGTACAGTATATATGTTATTAATCATTGGGTTTCCAAACACATTCAGCCTCTATTGGAAATGAAGGATTCTGTCTCACTTAGATGAAAGGGTGGATGAATGTACCAACATTCAGAAGAGGAAACTTTAAGCCACCTAAGAGAATTTGCCAGGGAATGCGGATATTTAAAATGTCTATAGGCCCTGAGCTCCTAACTTCTACAGCTTTATCTGGGATGATTGCATCGATATTTTACAGAGTATACGTTATTTATTAAGCATAGAGTTTCCAAACCCATTCAGCCTCTATTGGAAATGAAAGATTCTGTCTCAATGAGACAAAAGGGTGGATGAATGTACTAATATTCAGAAAAGGAAATGTGTAGCCACCTAAAGGAATTTGCTAGGGGAATGCAGAGATTTAAAATGTCTGTAGGCCCTGAGCTAATAACTTCCACAGCTCCATCTGGGACTGCTAAATCTGTATTTTACTGAATATACATTATTTATTAAGCACTGGGCTTCTGAACCTGTTCAGCCTCTATTGGAAATGAAAGATTCTGTCTCACCTAGATGAAAGGGTGCATGAATGTGCCAAAATTTAGAAGAGGGAACTTTTAGCAACCTAAGGAAATTTGCCAGGGGAAAGCAGAGATTTAAAATGTCTATAGGCCCTGAGCTAGTAACTTCTACAGCTCCATTCGGGACTACTAAGACTGTATTTCACAGCATATAGGTTATTTATTAAGCATTGGGTTTCCAACCCCATTCAGCCTCTATTGGATATGAAAGATTCTGTCTCACCTAGATGAAAGGGTTGATGAATGTACCAACATTCAGAAGAGGAAACTTTTAGCCGCCTAAGCGGATTTGCCAGGGGAATATGGAGATTTAAAATATCTATAGGCCCTGAGCTAGTAACTTCTAAGCTCCATCCGGGATTACTAAGTCCATATTTTACAGAATATACATTATTTATTAAGCATTGTGTTTCCAAACCCGTTCAACCTCTTGGAAATGAAAGATTCTGTCTCACCTAGATGAAAGGGTGGACGAATGTACCAACATCCAGAAGAGGGAATTTTAAGCATCTCAGGTAATTTGCCAGGGGAATGCAGAGATTTAAAATGTCTATAGGCTCTGCACTAGTAACTTCTACAGTTCCATCCAGAACTATTAAGTCTGCATTTTACAGAATATACGTTATTTATTAATCATTGGGTTTCAAACTTGTTCAGCCTATAATAAAAATGAGAGGTTTTGTTTCAAGTACACTCAAAGGATTGATGAATGTACCAACCTTCAGAACAGGTGAATTTAGCCATCTAATGAAATTTGTCAAAAAAATTCAAATATTTAAAATGTCTATAGTTTTTACATTTTCAGTGATTATTACAAATTTGATGGAAAGATTTTTTTCTAAATAATGATTATGCTGGTATTTAAGTTTGAGAACCCGATATTTACAAAAACAACCAATTAAAAAATATCATCTGGCCAGGCGCGGTGGCTCACACCTGTAATCCCAGCACTTTGGGAGGCCAAGGTGGGGGGATCACGAGGTCAGGAGATTGAGACCATCCCAGCTAACACGTGAAACCTCGTCTCTACTAAAAATACAAAAAATTAGCTGGTCGTGGTCGCGGGTGCCTGTAGTCCCAGCTACTCGGGAGGCTGAGGCAGGAGAATGGCATGAACCCAGGAGGCAGAGCTTGCAGTGAGCCAAGGTTGTGCCACTGCACTCCAGCCTGGGTGACAGAGAGAGACTCTGTCTCAAAACAAAAAGAAACAAAAAAAAAATCATCTCAATTTCAGGTTTCCCTCTTTCTATGATCTGACACTCCACTGTTTCCTCTTTCGAATTTCTTTACATGTTTGAAATTCAAGGATGTAAATTTTGAAACTGCAAACTTGTGTCAATGCTTCAAAGGCTGATTAGAATTGTGATCTTTACCCAGAGCAAAGTCTCACTTGCTGACATGAAAATTTTTATTTCAACTTTACCACCTGTTAGGGTTTTCACCTTGAGAATCCTAGAAAGCAGTTATTCTGGTTATCCAACTCAGTCTGTGTGTGTATCTGTGTGGGTTGTGAAAGGCTTTAATTTTTAAAATAAGGAGAATACTTAATGATTCCTCCATGACATTTTGGGAGACAAAGCATTTTAAAACAGTGATTGTGAAGCATTTAGCATTCGTGTCTTCATGCTACTACAAAATATTGCCTAAGCAGTAAGCAGCAGTCTGAACTAGGTTTTCAAATACCATTATCATGCATGTTTAAAACATGGTACAACATATGTGCATGGTCTTAGGTAATATGTAGAGTATGATTTCAAGTCCTAAAAGTTGAGAGAAATGGTTGTACACTGTAGTCATCATTCTGCACTTTTTTTGATTGGAGTTATGTATTTCAGACGTATCCATACTCACACTATTCTCTTTGCTTGAATTCATTTTGATGCCTCATTTTGTGCCATTTGAGTCTTCATGTCATTTAAATAGACTCTTCATAGTCACTAAATATCAACATGAAGATTATTGCAGGTGTCAATGAGCTTTTGTCTCAGTTATTATATCTGCTGCTTCATTCTATATTTTGAATTAAAATAAAAATAGTTAAAATACAAGCATAAATAGCTATACATGCCAGTAACTATGGCAACTTTGTCCTATTAACCATTAGAGCTCTGGCACGGTGACATATCATGGCTGAAAAATTTCAGTGCAACCTTTTATGAAAATAAGAGTGAAAAGGGAAAATAACAAAAATATCATTTTACCACATGGTAACTATGCATGGGACCTTGAACTCCAGGGATTCTCTCATCACACTTTAGAACTACCATTTGCTACCATACATAGAATTGTCAAGTGGCAAGTAGTAAATAGGCTTTTAATGATAACATGGCTTTCGAAGTTGCTTGTGTGTGTGTGTGCGTGTGTGTTTGTGTTTTAATCTTTTTGGTCTTAAAAGGTTTAAATCCAACCATTTCATCTGTGAAGGAATATATTTTGGTTATTACATGTTTATATTTTGTCTGGTGGCTCTGTGTTCACATTTCATCGAGTGTGGATCTAGACTCATCATACTTTCACATGTGAAATGGTAGCTCAATTGATCATTTCTTATGAGAATGTGTGAGGCTTTTCCAGGGCATCACATGTTAATTCTGAAGCTATTGGTGCACTGAGAGAAGAACATCTCACAGTAATTATAGCAGGTTTTAATTTAAAGTATATTTTATGAAAACTTTAAGCCCATTTCTGTAGAATACCTGCACACCATATGGTCAGGCATGTTTAAAGTGATTAAATGTAATTCTTTGTACTTTGGAGAGTTGATATCCCTTAAGAATCTTATTTATCAATCAGTCATCTCTCATAGACAATGAAATATGTAACAGATATTTCTAAGAACACTAAAGTAAATCATACAAAAATATAAAAATATGTAGAAAATATATAGAAAACATCAGAGAAGATAGTTAATGAAATGTATTTGGCTAAATAGCAATTCTGAACATAATGTATTTGTTGGTAAAAAATGAACATGGCACTGCTTCCGTGAAGAAACAATTTATACAAGTTATATTTCTATCAGTTTTCACATTCTAATAAAACATCTTTTTGGGGGGTTTTAAGACTGAGACTGTACTAAATTGATTATGGTTGTGGTGGAAATAGTTGTAACTATGTAGAAGGTGAAGAATCAAGAAGAGAGGCATTTGTATTCATTTTCTTATATAAGGGCGTTTTGACCGAGGAAAAGATGAAAAAATATCTAGTTTATTATGCACGATTTGATGAGACAAATTGAGTGAACTTACTTTGTATGGGTTCACAGCATGCCCTGGGAAAAAATAAGATTGCAGTATTGCTAGTTAAGAAATTAATGGGCACAGAGGAAAGACCAAAATTTTGGTAAACCACAGTGACTCATTTTTCTTTTGGGAATCTCAAGGAACTCAGCTATTTTGTTGAGCAGACTCAGTGGGTTTGTGTGTTTGTGTGTATCTGTGTGTGTGTATCTGTATGTGTGTGTTTGAGTGTGAATGCACATGAGCAAGTGCCAGTGTATGTTTGTGCTACCTTTCATGTTCATAAGTCAACATGCTACCATTGTTATTGGTCCTGTTCTGTTTCAGTTATAGTCACTTGAAATATTATATACACCAATATTATATGCTAATATTCACCTATTGCAAATAAAACACAGGTCTGCATGCTCAGGTAATTCCATCCCTAATGCCTTCTCAGTAGTGAAAAAGACAGGAAAAGTGAGAAAACTTTAGCTGTGATTTTTTGACAAGTTTTGGTACTGGAAGATTATTTTATATTCTTGCCATCTTTCTAACCATGGTCTGTCTTTTTCTAAAAAAAAAAAAAAAAAAAAAAAAAAAAGTTTATTTTGCCACCTCCATTGTATAAACCTGCTTCTTGTTCCTTCCTGTACTCCCTGTACTCTCTCTGTCTTTCTTAGTCTTCATTTTCTCTTTTACTCCTTTTCTGTTCCTTATTTCCTGCCTTTCCTCAGGTCTCAGAGTATCTTGGATTCAAACAAATAATTCAGTTCTTTTTTTTCACACTCTACATAAACTGTTGCCAACACCTGAGGAGATACATAACTTATCATCATTTTACTTCTTTCTTTTCAATGTTATGCATTTAGTGGGTAATTTTCTTTTGCAATTAGAGTATATCAGTCCTCATGCATCTAGTCAAACATTTGGTCAAATGACTTTTCAAATAAAAACTGGTTCTTACCGTCTACTTTTCTATTTATTGTCTTGACTACTTTTTGATACGTAGCCTCAGGTAAACACACAAAATTCTGTGAAGCACCCTCAGAGAGACTCTGTTAGAAGTAATATCAATAAATAATTTCAATTTTAAAATAATAAGAAGCATCAAAATTTCCTAATTAAAATTTTTTAAACTCAGTTTATGACTTCAAAGGCAATTTGATTTAAGGAGAGGCACATATTGAAAATCACATTTTGATCGAAAACCTCACATATGCTCTCTAGATCAAGCTTATCTGTTATCTTCATGCAGCTATTGACTCAGTTACTGAGCATGAAAAATAAATAATATTGACAAAAATATTCACTCATCTGCATATTTCAAAAAGTAGCTCATCTAAAAATATTTTACTTTGTCTTCCTCACCAAAAATCAAGAGGGCATTTCAAACAAAATATAATACACTTGTTACCTGCCATACCACATAATGCATTAAACATTGAAAATATTCATGATTATAGAATTATTTAGTGTTAAAATGATGCATGGCATAAAGAGAATCTTAAGAATAAGTCATATAAAGGATACTCAGAACATTGTAAAAGCTGCTTTATTTAGATAAACAGGGGCTTAAAATAATCAAAATGTTTTTGATAAAATGTCTGTTGATAGAAAAAGTACTTGAATAAAATGAAAAAGTAGTAAGAAAAACTTATATTTATGTTATGTTTAAATGAAAGCAGACAAATATTAGAGTCTTTTTTTGTCTATGGACAAATTAGATAAAGACTACTTGTCTATTGACTTCTACTCGTTTTTGTTACCACTGTGCAGCAGGTGCTTGTATCTAAGAGGTCAGGCACTTCCCGTGTCTTTCCACAGTTGTGACCTTGGACTACATCATTGTTATTCGATACTAATGTTGCTATAAGCATAGCCACCACAAAGGGACTCAAAGTGTTCTATTTGTAAAAATAATTTCTACTTTTTAAAATACTACTCAACCAAATTGTTGTTATTATAGTCCCACTGGCTTCCTATTGCTTATGCATTTTTATCTCCTGAAATGTTCCTTCAGATCTATACTGGACAATACAGATTATCAATATTTTCAAGTTCCAAGCATTATCTTTTCAGGTTCCAAGTTGTACAAAACTGCAGCTTAAACTGTTTTTCTATAAATCCAATTAGAACTTTTGTACATCTAGATATACCACCGAATCATATATTTGCCCATAGGTGGACTCAGAGTAATTCTTTAGTTTTTAGCCAAATTTCACCTCAGGACTCATGTGAATTACTTGTGAATTCTAAGCCTTATTTTTTACACTATACAACAATGTGTCTAAAACTAATTCTGAAAATTAGCAGAATTTCACTATCAAGCAATAATCTACGTAGCCCATAGTATTTTTTTTTTATTAAGTATGTTTTTTTGGAGACAGAGTCTCATTCTGTTGCCCAGGCTGGAGTGCAATGGCCCAATCTCAGCCCACTGCAAACTCCAGCTCCCAGGTTCAAGTGATTCTCCTGCCTCAGCCTTCCGAATAGCTGGGGTTACAGGCATGTGCCACCATGCCCAGCTAATTTTGTATTTTTAGTACAGATGGGGTTTCATCATGTTAGCCAGGCTGGTCTTGAACTCCTGACCTCAGGTGATCCACCTGCCTCAGTCTCCCAAAGTGCTGGGATTACAGGCGTGAGCCACCACACCCATCCAAGTATGTTTTTAGAAATATCAGAATTTCTTGTGAGCATATGCAGGGGTAAGAAAACCAAGTCAAAGCCTCTGATTTTATATTTTCACATCACTCAACATTAATACTTTTAGAGAATAATAACATCAATAATACACAGTACCACAGAATCCCAAGAATATTCTTCATCTTCCTCTTGTTTGGATTCTGATGGGAACATCTGATCTATAAAAGGTTAATCACCAATACATTCATGAGAACATTTATTATTATAGATTTTTAAAACATATACAAGTCTATTTTCATTCATGAATTCGTGGACCTTCTTCTGTAGCCTGTATATTCTATTGGTGGATAACAACCACCACTTCTATAGTCAATTTGTTAGAATTGCAATTCAGTAAAACACATCAAAATAAAATCATGGCAAAGGAAGACCTACATGTTTAAGTGTGTAAAATGAACTTGATTCATTTTACCTTGGATGGGTCAAACTCTCATAATAGATTGATACTAGGCCACAAATTGGTGACCAAAAAAAAAAAAAGAGACTATAGCATGAACTACTACAAAAGCTTCCTTTGTCTTTAACTTTTTTATGTGATTACTCTCCATCTATCTTCCATAGGAAGGGCCAGCAAACTATAGGCCACAGGCTAAATTCAGCTTACTAAATGGACTTTTATACAAAGTTTTATTGGCGTACAATCATGCACATATGACTGCTTTCACCCTACATTGCAGAGCTGAATAGCTGTGATAGAGACCACATAGCCTAACATATTTCCTATCTGGCGCTTTACAGGAAAAGTTTGCCAATCTCTGCTTTATACCATGACCAGAATGCCCTGATACTCAAATCTAATCTTGTGACTCCTCTGCTCAAAGTTTACCAATGAATCCCTGCAGAAAACATTGCTGGCTTCCTATGCATAGTCATTATTTAATCTTTCTTGCTGCAGAAATACAAGTTTATTTAGATATTTATTACTCCATTCCCCCATCCCATCTCCAATTATTCTAAGCTAATCACAGTAATTACATTTGCTTTCCTAGTGACTGGTTTTGAAATGAGCATGTAGTACAATCCAGCCAATAAAATGTTACAGGAAGATTACTGCAAGCTTCCAAGTTTTCTCCCTATTTAAAACAAACATGTGAACAAAAGCAGCCCTTCCAGCCTTCAAATATTGTCTTGAGAGAGCATGATGATTGGAGCTGTTGCTAATTAGTCAACCAAAAGTGGAATCCTGGACGGGCGCGGTGGCTTACGCCTGTAATCCCAGCACTTTTGGAGGCCGAGGTGGGCGGATTACGAGGTCAGGAGTTCGACTCTGGCCAACATAGTGAAACTCCGTTTCTACTAAAAATATAAAATATAGTCGGGGGTGGTGGCAGGCACCTGTAATCCTAGCTACTCAGGAGGCTGAAGCAGGAGAATCGCGTGAAACCGAGAGGCGGAAGTTGCAGTGAGACAAGATCGCGCTGTTGCACTTCAGCCCAGGCGACAGTGCGAGATTCCGTTTCAAAAAAAAAAAAAACAACAGTGGGATCCTATGATATCCCTGTACCACCAAAACAACTTTGGTTCCTATGTTTTTAGCCATTGTTAGTTCATCTAGTATTTACAGCCAGAAGTATTGTGAGGATTTTTCAGGGCCTACAGAATAAGGTCTATTCATTTTTATACTATTAATAAGTGTTGCCTAAGCTTGCCTTATCTAGATATTCAAGTCATTCCCAACTACTCCCATATCACGCTATTTCCACTTGGGAACCCGAAGGGCCAATAAACCCTACAACGTTAACTCAAGCATCTTACCATTTGTACTTGCTTTTGTAGATGTTTCTTTTGTAGGACATGTGATCATCTTAGCTGTTCCTTCTTCCAAGACTTCAGTTTTGAATTTTTTTTTTTTTTTTTTGAGACGGAGTCTCGCTCTGTGTCCAGGCTGGAGTGCAGTGGCATGATCTCGGCTCACTGCAACCTCCACCTCCCTGGTTCAAGCAATTCCCCTGCCTCAGCCTGCGAAGTAGCTGGGATTACAGGCGCGCACAACCAGGGCTAGCTAATTTTTTGTATTTTTAATAGAGACGGGGTTTCACAATGTCGGCCAGACTGGTCTCAAACTCCTGACCTTAGGCAATCCGCCCGCCTCGGCCTACCAAAGTGCTGGGATTACAGATGCGAGCTACCGCGCCGGGCCCGAAGCTTCAGTTTTATTAGATTTTACTCCCCCACGCATTCAGTCTCTTCAGATGCTTCTTTTTCCTCCCATGTGATTTTCTGGGTCTTTCTTGGGCTATCCATGCAAATTTCTCAGATGTTTCTTTTGCAGGCCTCGTAATTTTCCTAGGTATTTCTTCTGCAGACTGTTCAATATTTCCAGATGTCGCTTTCCCCAAACATTGAATTTTGTCAGATGTTCCCTCCGCCAAGGGTGCAGCCTGTTTAGGCGCTCCCTCCACCAAGCGTTCAGCCTACTCAGGCTTCTTTTTCCGCCAAGGGTTCAGACTTGACAGGCGTTCCTTCAGATGTTCCTTCTGCCAAACACACAACTTGGTTAAATTTTCCTTCCGCTAAATATCATCCTTCTGACTCTTTACCTGGCAAACTTCTACTCATTCTGCATGCTTTCCTTAGATACTACCAAACTTTTCTCTTTTTTTTTTTTTTTTTTGAGACGGAGTCGCGCTCCCTCGCCCAGGCTGGAGTGCAGTGGCGCGATCTCAGCTCACTGCAACCTCCACCTCCAGGGTTCAAGCGATTCTCCTACTTCAGCCTACCAAGTAGCTGGGATCGCGCCATCACGCCAGGCTAATTTTTCCTATGTAGTAGAGACGGGTTTCACCATGTTGGTCAGGCTGGTCCCAAACTCCTGAGCTCAAGCAATCCATCTCTCTTGGCCTCCTAAAATGCTAGGATTACAGGAGTGAGCCACCACTACTAGACACTACCAAACTTGTTAAAGCTTTAATTGTTCACCCTGGATATAAAACGTCTGACACATACTGAATATGGTAATGACATAATGTGATAATTATAAGCTCCCAAAGGGGTTCTGGCACAAACACTAAATAAAGTAGTAAATATTAAGAAAAAGATAACAAGAAAAATGCTTAGTACCTTAATAAAGTAGTAAATAATAAAAAATGACAATGATAATAATGAGGAAGATGCTTAGTACCTTAAAGATACTTGACACTTATTTGTTAAGTGGACAAGTGGATAAATGAATAAAAAACATGTTATATGAAATTATCTCGGAAAAATGCAGAAATTCAGTAGGGACAGCTCTACTATATTATGAGCACCTGAAAAGACCCAGACTATGTGTATTCCATATTTGTCTCCTGAAACTTGCCAAACCTAACTTATAGAAGTCCTTTGATAAATATGTAATAAATTAAAGATGTGCTCATACAGTTCATATTTTACAATGCATTGTGTCACATTTAGATGTCACAGTAGCATTTTTGTCATTGTGAAAAATTTTTGTACTTTTATTATAATTTGTTGAGCCTAGTGTTAAGCTATTTGAATATTTATGTTAATATTTTGGCCAGTAGAAATAGAGTA
This sequence comes from Homo sapiens, assembly GCF_000001405.40. Lineage (NCBI taxonomy): Eukaryota > Metazoa > Chordata > Mammalia > Primates > Hominidae > Homo > Homo sapiens. Next base: position 32,387 of record NW_003315934.1, on the reverse strand, counting down.
TCTTTTTATAACAAAATTACTATTAACACACTAATTGTCCAGCAGATAGAACAACACATCTTGTCCTAATGAAGTAAATATATTTTATTGGGTTTCAACTTAGAGGGAATGGAGTTGATAATAGTGAGACCTTTTAGTACAAGACTATGTAATATAACCTGGGCTTCTCAAAAAAGATTTGCTTTTCTGATTTCTGCACTCAGTAGGTATCTTTGAAAAATAATATCCTATTGGTACTGATGCACCCTGGCTAAGTTTTGTAATTCTTGTTGACATTTGTTTATGGTGCCAGAAAAGTATTATTGAGTTCCAAATTCTAAAGATTCTTACTTTTTTAGTGGCACAAGTCACTATGTCACACAGTTGATCCTTGAATAAGGGTTTTCAATGTAGGAGCCCACTAAAAAACAGATTTTTCTTTTCCTTTCCCACTGCAAGATAGTAAGACAAATCTCTCCTCTCCCCCCTCCTTATCAGCCTACTCAACATGAAGGCAATGAGAACGACCTTTATGAATAATAATTCACTTCCACTTAATAAATAGTGAATATATTTTTTCCTCCTTAAAAGTTTCTTTTCTCCAGCTCACTTTATTGTAAGAATACAGTATATAGTACATATGACATAGAAACTATGTGTTAATTCACTGTTTATGCTTTCAGTAAGGCTTCACAGGTCAACAGTAGACTATTAGTAGAGTTTTGGAGGAGTCAAAAGGAACAGATTTTCATATAAAGCAGATTTTCAGCTGCTTGGGAGATTGGCACCCTAACTCTCATGTTACTCAAGACTCAACTGTAATTAATTCTCATTTACTAAATGTAAACCATTTATTGTAAAAATTAAATAGAGCCCAGAAGTTCAAGACCAGCCTGGGCAACAAAAGGAGACCCTGTCTCTACAATTAAATATATAAGTAAATAAAACCATGTTTCTTCATAGGTTATAATATTCAAATGTTGCAGTTTTTGTTATTAATTCCTACTTTTCCTCATTAGATGTTCTATTCTTTGTGGCTTTTAATTCAGGGCATCTAAGCTACTTTATAATTTGTAATAAAATGTATTTATAAATGTATTAATTCATTAAATTGGATAACCTGATTATCCCCTATTACTGAGCTCATCAATCACACCAAGGGTTACACATTTTGTAAAAAGCCTAAGTTGTTATGACAATTGAGGAAACATACAGTATACAAACTTAAAAATTGTTTTACTTATTTATACAAAAGTATTATATAAAATTTTAGGTACCATAATTAAAAACATATTTTTTCAGATAATATTTTCTGAGATTATAAACTACCTATAACTAATTCTGAATTATAAACTAAAAAATTGAATCAAAGCTATATATATATATGTACACACACACATATGTATATATGTAAACACATCCTATTTCCACATTGCTTTTTTAATTGCTATTGTATGATCAACATTTCCATAACCTTATGGTAGCACCACCAAGAGTAGTTTACTATCAGAAGTCTTACCTGGATTGCTATTTTGAGGATTTTTAGATATCTTTTGTTTATATTCCAAAAGACATTGATGAATGCTATGTATAAAAATGTAATAAATAAAATTACTATTTTAACATTTACCAAATTTTCCAAATTTATTAAGTTCTTAGACTATTTCAGACAATATCAGAGCTAACAGCAGAACATTACTTATTCCAGAGACTTTAAGTTTGTAAGCTCTAGGAACTTATTAAGCTGCTAATAAAAGAAGAAAGAAAGTAAGATGAAATACTCATGAATTGAGGTCAGCATAATTCCGTAAATTAACTAGAGTTAGCTTGGCATAATGGAAAATGTCCTTAATTCAGAATAAGTCCTAGTGTGGTAACCAACAGGTATTTTTTCTTGAACAAGTTGCTTGTTAGGCTCAACGTCTTCTAAAAATGAGAATTTTAGAGCCTGATTTCACTAGGTTATTATAAAGATTCAACATGATAACGTTTTTAAAATGCTCGAATAAATAGTGAAGCAATGAAATACCTTGTTGTTCAACCTTATTGCTGAAACTATTTTAAAATTCCCAATAAAATCCAATGTTTTGGCCTGGTGCAGTGGCTCATGCCTGTGATGCAAGCACTTTAGGATGCTGAGACAGGATGACAACTTGAGCCCAGAAATTCAAGACCAGCCTGGGCAACATAGGGATACCCTGTCTCTACAAAACATAAATAAATTTCAAAAAAAAGTTTCTTCGTAGGTTATAATGTTCAAAAGTTGCACTTTTCTGTTATTAACTCCTACTTTTGGTTATTAGATGTTCTATTCTTTGTGGCTTGTAATTCAAGGCATCTAAGCTATTTTATAATTTGTAATGAAATTTATTTATAAATATATGAATTCATTAAATTGGATAACCTGATTAGCCTCTATTACTGAGCTCATCAATCACACCAAGGGCAGAAAACTAATAGATGTCAGCATCTGGCTTGGACTATTACTACTCTTTATCTACCTCCTGAAACTCTGAATCAACAAATCTTTGTTAGAATGATGCTTAGTCACTATGCTCATTTCCAGCTGCTGTGGAAGAAAAAACGCTACCTTTATTTTTTGTAAGTTCCACAAGGAAGATGCAAGTTGGTATTTCCTCATTTCTGAGATGCACTAACAGCATATTGCACACAAGATCCTATGTGTTACCACATCTCATTTCATATATCACCTTGCATCAATATTTCTTGTATGAAAATCACAACTGCAATACTGGGTGACAACCATTTTGCTTTGACTCACACCATTTCCTTGGAGCTAGTTAGAAAGTAGTCACATGCCCTTTTGGAAACTGCAAGAAATATACAACACTTCACAGATCTGTGTGTCATCCTCGTGCAGGGGCCATGCTGATCTTCTCAAAGTTGTTTCAATTTTACTATATGTACTGCTGATGCCAGCATGAATCCCTACTTTTATACCTGAAGACTGATCAGTGATGGATGAGGCTTAGCTCTGTTAAATCTAACCAACTTACCTGGGGTTTTGTGAAGTCTATTGAATGGCTTCATGGTGATGCAGAATTTGAAAATATTTTAAAAACTTGAGGTAGAGATGCAGGTAGCATGGGAGATTTTTACTTTTAGGAAAAAAAGAATCACTTGAGGGGACAAGCACAAGTTGGAACCCACTGTAACTTGAGAAAGATGACATGGGATCTTCCAGAATAAGATGAGACCTTCCACTACCTACAAAATGGTGCTATACAGATTATAAAGGTCCAGGGATATAGATGTGGTAACAAAATAAAAAGGATCTCTAATTTCTTCCTGTAATTATTTCAACCTGACTTACAGTTTCCAACTATCACAACTAATATTTGCTAGAGAAAACAGAAAAAAGCCACTCAAAGGATAACTTACCATGAAGGTCTAGGCCAAGTCCAGGCTAAGATGTGGGTTTCACATCAGGTTTTGAGTGGGAGGAGAAGGGTCAATTTGCTTACTATGTGTGTGGCTAAAGCTAAACGTCCTAGCTGCCAGAGCAGGGTGCTGGTACTTTGGAAACAATGGCTGAGAATATGTATGTGAACTTTAAAAAAATGAAATAACTTTGAAGTCTACATATGGATCACTATGAAGACTGAGGGATCTGTATTAGTAAGAGCATCCTGGTGGCAAAGGTCAATCATTACCAGACTGCAAGAGTAGTTTCAATGGCACCAATGCAGCAACAGAATCAATGGAAACAACAAAATGAAGAGAACGGGCATTTCCCACCCGCCCCCAATCCTTCTGACTTAAACAAAAGGAATGTCTTCCTTGGACTTAGGGAACCCCTTAGATTCTTTTTAAAAATTCAAGGATGAAGGTATGGAAGACAGCCCCCAGGGACACTATCAGGTTTTCTGCTGAAGTGGACATTTCAAGACCCAAATAACTAATTAGAAAAATCAAAATTGTGACACTATGTTTATCCCATGGATGGGGGTTATACTGCAAATCAAGTAGACAACATTAGGATCCCTAGGGATAAAGTTGTTGGAAGTCCTAAAATAAAGAATCCTGGACCCATTACTCCTTCCGACTAGTTTAGCTTTTTGCCTAGTTTCTGGCTGATGAAGTGAACTAACTCACTGACATTCAAAAATTACCTGAAACAAACTATGAAATCTCACCTACCCTTTAAATATAAACACTAATGGATTAAATCTACTAGCAACAGCATAACCTCCTGCAGTCATTCCACACATATCTTCAGCACAGATGTCAATATTTTGCTGAAGAAGAATGCCGACTATCTCTGATGATCCATGACATACGGCAAGCATGAGGGCTGTGCTAAAATAACAAAGATATAACTTCATTATTAGGAACAGAACCAATTTAATATGTGCCTGTCAGTGTAGAATTAACCATTTACGTGTACTAATAAACATAAGTATGTTGAGTGCTCAAGTGTTTATCCTTGTAAATCACCACCAAGGCTGAAAGGAAGGGGCAGAAAGACTCACGTCCCACTGGGATATGGCATACTAGAAGTGGCTAACATAAAGTCCTTTGAAGGGCAAGAAAATATGCTCTGTTCACGAATCTTAAAGACGCAAAGATTTAAGTGAAGAATTCTCTATTTCTTCCTTAGTCTGATAAAATATTTTGTTCTTCAAAATCAGCTAGAAGTCAGACAAATGAGAGCCATCTGAAGGCTTAAAACAATATTAGGAGTAATGATATTAGTAGTAGTCATAGCAAGTTCAGTTAATGATGCTAATGAGAATGTATGAGACACTGAATTAAATGCTGCTAATATTCATAATGTTATTCCCACAAAACTGTCCTTAAAGGACATATTATTATTCTCCTTTTTGTATAGAAAATCATACTTGGTGTTAAGTAATGTTTGCAAAGTCACACCTGCGAAGTGAGGAAGCTAGAAATTAAACCCAGTCTTGTGTGAATCAAAAGCCTATCTGTTTTCTCTTTATTGCTCACCTATGGCTTACCTTTTTTTTTGTTTGTCTTTCGAGATGGAGTTTCGCTCTTATTGCACAAGCTGGAGTGCAGTGGCACAGTCTTGGCTCACTGCAACCTCTGCCTCCTGGGGTTCAAGCTTTAGCAACCTGAGTAGCTGGGATTACAGGCGCCTGCAGCCACACCTTGCTAAATTTTTGTATTTTTAGTAGAAATGGGGCTTCACCATGTTAGCCAGGCTGGTCTCTAACTCCTGACCTCAGCCAATCCCACCACCTTGGCCTCCCAAAGTGCTGGGATTACAGGCGTGAGCCACTTCGCAGGCGGGCTTATCTAATGAACTAAAATGTTAATCCAATTAAAGATGTCTTTCTTCCCTCTACCTATACAAATTAAAAATAAAAATACACTATGAATTAAAAAAAGATAAATTCACAGTATCTGGTGACAGCAATTAATAGTCACGTAGGGATAACCTAAAATTAATATTCTTCAAAGAAAACAACTTAAAGCAAACTGTCGTCCTAAAGACAAAATGATTTTAAACAAAATGATTTTAAAATGATTTTTAAAATTTATATATATTTATATATATATAAATATATAAATATATAATATATATAATATAATATATAAATATATAAAATATAATATATAAATATGTAAAATAATATATTTTATATAAATATACAATATATAATTATATATTTATTATATATATCATATTAAATATTATATATTTATATATATTATATATTGGCCAGGATATATATATTATATATAAATATATAACATAGATATATATATTATATATAAATATATAACATATTTATATATATAAATATATAACATATATAAACATTAGTGGCTCACGCCTGTAATCTCAGCACTTTGGGAGGCCACAGCGGGCGGATCACGAGGTTAGGAGATCGAGAACATCCTGGCCAACATGTTGAAACCCCATCTCTACTAAAAATACAAAAAATTAGCGGGGCGTGGTGGCACATGCCTGTAGTCCCAGCTATGCGGGAGGCTAAGGCAGAGGAATCGCTTGAACCTGGGAGGTGGAGACTGCAGTGAGCCGAGACTGGGCCACTGCACTCCAGCCTGGCGACAGAGCAAGACTCCGTCTTAAAAAAAAAAAATTAACTAGACTACAAAATAGTGGATTGTTGGCAAACTATCAAGTTTTTTTGTTGTTGTTTTGTTTTGCTTTTTTGTGACGGAGTCTCGCTCTGTCCCCCAGGCTGGAGCGCAGTGGCGCAATCTCGGCTCACCGCAAGCTCCGCCTCCCGGGTTCACGCCATTCTCCTGCCTCAGCCTCCCGAGTAGCTGGGACTACAGGCGCCCGCCAGGACGCCCGGCTAATTTTTTGTATTTTTTAGTAGAGACAGGGTTTCACCCTGTTAGCCAGGATGGTCTCGATCTCCTGACCTCGTGATCCACCCGCGTCGGCATCCCAAAGTGCTGGGATTACAGGCGTGAGCCACTGCGCCCGGCCAACTATCAAGTTTTTATCAGGGAATTTAGACAAGTCTATTGGGTCACAGAAGAAGGTTTATAAATTGGAGGACTGAAAGTGGATTTTGAGTTCATGGTCAGTCTAGTAACTCATCCTTGCTTTTAGATGCCGTGGCTTAAAGACCTCAGCTCTTGAGGATATATTATCACACTGGCTTCAGAAAAGGGTTGAGGAGCTCCCCTTTCAAAGAACTGGCCTACACCAGTGCTTTTCTGTTCAGCTTTTCTGGTGATTACTTAAAGATTAAGGGATAAAGGATGCTATTTAGTGTCCTTGCCTCTCCTGGTCCAATTTCAAAGAATTCTAAAGCCAGAGTCCAAGAGTCAGTGCTACCTCAAAAGGAAGGGAAGGTTACTCAGTGTCCGGGTACCAGATGCAGTGAAAGAGGTGTGCCTCATGGCCAGGAAACTCAGGTCAGCGTCCTGGAAGGGATGGTTCACACTCAGAGCTGGAGTCAAAGCAGAATCCACTGGGCCGTCAAACAAATGCCCAGCACTTGTTTCTGGGCCCATTTAACTCTCACTAGCATGCTTATGTTTTCATGTGCTTCTAGAAGTGTCATTGGACAGGATGATTTTGGCCCAGGTCAGTGCTCCTGTTTGAGACAAGAACTTCTTTGCATGGTTAAAGCTACTCATAGATTCTCACTGATCTCATTGCCTTGAAATAACTAAAGATAAGCTTAATTCAATATATTTTTTATACCGAGTATCTCTTATGTGCCAAATGTTACTCATGGTATTACAGAAGATTCTAAAAATAATAAGGTACATTGTAGAGAAATAAGTTCTAGAGCGTTTCTGTTCAAACCAGTAGCCACTTGCCTATGTGTATCTATTGAACACTTAATATGTGGTTAGTCCAAATTAAGATGTACCTTAACTATATAATGTACAATGGATTTCAAAGACTTAGTATGAAAAATATGTAATATTTCATTAATAATTTTACATTGGCTATACATTGAAATCATTCTATTTTAGATAAAATTAAAATATTACTAAACTTGTTATCCCTACATTTTTTACCTTTTCAAATATGGCTACTAGAAAATTTTAAATGACATAAGTCACTCACATTATGTTTCTATTGGATACCATTGCTCTAGAGGGAAAAGACTGTCATAAATTTTTAGGTGGGATTACAAACTAGATTGTGCAAAATGCTATAACTGAGACTTTTTTAATGCACTAGAAGAGTAGGAAGAAGTTCTTAAGTCATGGACAGGAAAAGAAGGGATTTGCTCTGTGCTCTAAAGCATGGGTAAATCTGAATATTACACAAGTATAAAAACTCTGAAAACTTAAATAATTTATCTCAATCTTCCTTACACACAGCACCTGCTGCCCTGCACTAAACTTTTCTCCTGCCAATACATCATACAATTTTCTCCTATGATTTGGAAAATTCTATTGCTGATTAAATTTTATTGTTATTATTTCAAGGGATCATATGTCTTATGGTTTTATTTTTAAAACTTTTTTCAATAATATTGTCACCAATACCAATATGGTTATCACACTGTTTCATCATCATTAGTTTTTTTTGTTTGTCTTTTTGAGACACAACCTAGCTCTGTCTCCTAGGCTGGAGTGCAGTGTCAGGATCTTGGCCCACTGCAACCTCCATCTCCCAGGTTCAAGCAATTCTCATGTTTCAGCCTCCCTAGTAGCTAAGACTACAGGTGCACCCCACCACACCCAGCTAATTTTTATATCTTTAGGAGAGAGGAGGTTTCACCATGTTAGCCAGGCTGGTTTCTAACTCCTGGCCTCATGTGATCGACCCCCCTCGGCCTCCTGAGGTGCTGGGATTACAGGCATGAGCCATTGCCCCCAGTCGTCATTGGAATTTAATACATAATCAACTTGTCTTGGATACTCAGTAACAATGGAATACAAGCATTCTCTTGCTAAATTAAAGAGAAACTCCTTTAGTTAACAATCTAAAAATAGAATCTCTGATGCTATTTATAATAGATATTTGTGCTCCCTTCCTCTGTAAAGATCACTGGGATCTAAAATTAACCAAAATCTGCAACAGAGACCACTCACTTTTAAATCCTACTCTAGGGACCAAGTTTCTCTATTAATTCTAACCACTTCACTATTTGCACCAGGTTATTCTAGCTTGATTGGTAACCACCTTGAAAATATACCAGGCCGGGCGCAGTGGCTCACGCCTGTAATCCCAGCTCTTTGGGAGGCCAAAGCGGGCAGATCACGATGTCAGGAGATCGAGACCGTCCTGGCTAACATGGTGAAACTCTGTCTCTACTAAAAATACAAAAAAATTAGCCTGGGCGGTGGCAGGCGCCTGTAGTCCCAGCTACTCGGGAGACTGAGGCAGGAGAATGGCATGAACCCGGGAGGTGGAGCTTGCAGTGAGCCAAGATAGCGCCACTGCAGTCCCGCCTGGGCGACACAGAGAGACTCTGTCTCTCATAAACCTTGGAATCCAAAATTGCTAGTCCTCATTTTCATTTTATAAAACATACATTTTGATCCTCATAAATTGAACAATTTGCTGAAAATTGCCGCTTTGGGAGGCCGAGGCGGGCGGATCACGAGGTCAGGAGTTTCAGACCAGCCTGACCAACCTGGTGAAACCCCGTCTCTACTAAAAATACAAAAATTAGCTGGGCATGGTGGCGGGCGCCTGTAATCCCGCTACTCAGGAGGCTGAGGCAGGAGAATTGTTTGAAACCGGGAGGCAGTGATTGCAGTGAGCCGAGATCGCACCACTGCCCTTGAGCTTGGGCAACCGAGCGAGACTTCATCTCAAAAAAAAAAAAAACCTAAAATTTTGTGATCTATCAAATGATCTCTAATTTCACTGAAATAGGAAGGGTCTATCCTCTACACCACATGTTTAATACAGGTATACTGATGTGTGCCCTTGTCCAAGACATGGTTCCTCATGTATAAAACTTTGAAGGCTTTCATGGTAGTCCACTTTTGTGGTCAGGACTTCTTTCAGTATGGACCTTCTGATTAGTCTCTAGTTGGAGGTGCTAATCCATTATTCCTTTTTGCTTCAGTCTCATTAGAAGAGGGCACCAGACTGCTTTTCAATGTAGAAGCAAGAGGCAGCATAGGAAGGAAAGGGGGAGGCAACACTTTCTGAGAGCCTTGCTTCATGTCAGAAGCTGCCACTACACAAAGCTCTATTTTATCAATTTGGAATGAAATCTCAGAAAGATCAAGTATGTGTCAGAGAGCAAGTAAGTGGAAATGGGCTTCAAGCATGGTTCCATGTAGCTCTTAACCACCCTCTGTTCTTTTATCGTCTGTTAATATATGAAAGCACATATTTGTGTGTTTTTTGAAAGTGTTTTCAGAATCAGTGATAGGAGGAAATTTGTTGAAATGGTAAATACAGAACCTAGGCATCCCTGGGACTTTGCATGCTCAGGCCTGGTGCTGAGATCAGGAGGTGATTTTCCTCATTTCACAGCAGCCCTTGGAAGTGCAGGTGATGACATCCTGGACGCCGCCCATCTCCAGGCTCTGCTTTGAATTTGTTTCCATCTGAGGCTAATATTAGGTCAAATTTCCAATCTTCAGACTTTCCATTTTTAGCAATAAAAACCAAGTTTTACAATATCTGTTTTGTTCAAACTCTTCTCTGAGGTGATTCAATACCTAGCACATCTGGAAAACTAAAATTGCTTAAACTAACTGATTAAATGAAACAAAAAAACTCAATTTTTAGGCACCACCTGTTAATTTATTGGTTTGGATGTCTTAGTGTTGTTCTAATAAACGATTTGTTAGGTCTTGGTATGTGGTTAAGTTGGAATACAAGTAAGATACCTCCACACCAAAGGTCTAAAAAAATTCAGCAGATGGGTTCTTGGCTATTTTCCAAAACAACACAGTAATGTGAACACGTCAATAAATGTAACTTTTGAAAACCTTTTGAGCATACATGGCCTCCATGTAAATGGCATTTTTGGCACCGTCTAAAGTCATCATGTTGTAATAGTGTGGTACCAGCTGTGCACATACATTTATATCAGGGGATTACTAATGTCTGATTAGAATTCTTGCTTATTAATAAGATTTAGGGTAGAATAGAATGTGAATTATAGAAAGAGAAGCACAAGTATACAAACTTTTGAGAAAATGCCTTCACTGTTTCTAAATTAAATTTAATTTTCTTGTTTCACAGATGAGAAAATCAAAGCCCGTATCATCTGCTTCACGTCCCGCATTTACTTAACGCTGTAAGCATAGAACGTTGTTCCCAGTGACTACCCCTCCATCCCCAGTTCTGTGATTTCAGAGACAGTCGTGGTATCCTTGAGGGCAGAGACAGTAGTGGTATCCTTGAGGGCAGGAATTGTTTTTATTTTATTTTATTTTATTTTTACAATATTTAGCTTATTCCTAGTAGAGAGCAGTCAATGGATACGTTTTCCAAATTGAATTGACTTCATGTAAGTGAATTTTTTAATAACCACATAGCAAATTTACACAGTGAATATTACCTTTTCATAATGTCTGTTTTTTTATATTAATATTGATTTATCACCATTATACCTCTGTTAAAAACTCTTCGTAAATGAAGGATTTTGACACTGAAAATAAACTAATACATAGCATAGCACTGAAGTTTAAGAAAATTGTATGAAGCATTCAGTAAAAGCAAGCACTTACTACCCTGTCAGTCCAGAATGTAGTATTGTGCAATAGCCTTTAAAATGTATTGTTATAAAAATGTTGCTTAACTGGGCCCTTAGGAATTAATAATGGTTCTGAAAATAAACTAAATGGCTTCTTTTCCTTGGCCTCCATTTTTTTTTTTTTTTTTTTTTTTTGAGACAGAGTCTTGCTCTGTCACCCAGGCTGGAGTACAGTGGCGCGATCTCCGCTCACTGCAAGCTCTGCCTTCCGGGTTCACGCCATTCTCCTGCCTCAGCCTCTCGAGTAGCTGGGACTACAGGCGCCCACCGCCACACCCGGCTAATTTTTTGTATTCTTAGTAGAGATGGAGTTTCACTGTGTTAGTCAGGAGGTCTCGATCTCCTGACCTGGTGATCCACCCGCCTTGGCCTCCCGAAGTGCTGGGATTACAGGCGTGAGCCACCGCACCCAGCCTCCTTGGCCTCCATTTTATGTCCTAAATGGTATTTCTGTGTTCAGTCATCTTTTTTACTGCGAAAATTTGTCTAACATCTTGGAATTGCTTTGGGAAAGGATATTCTACCCATACAGTTGAATTTCTTTTTTTCTCAGAAGAGAGGAAATTGGGTTACCCACACCACCACTATTCTCATTCCAGACCAGGCCTTCTTTTTCTTGAAGTGCTCTTTGAGCCTATGTGGTTCCAGCATGAGTCTCCTTGGGGGATATGTTAGGGGATGCTGTCAGAACAACTACTTCTTGAGAAGTCCAAGGAACCGGCAGAAACCTTTACCAAAAAGATGATCAACTCAGATACTGCTGCAGTGCAAAAGGACAGGCAAGGAGAAAGTGTGAGTTACATACATGGTTCAGGCCAGCCAACTCAGGGTAATTTGAGTCTATCCATGCGAATACTAGCCACTCGCATTTTCACATAGTCCAAGAGTTGATCTGGGCTAGCAAAATTAATCTTATTTACTACAAGGAAAAATCTACGTTCTTAAAATCCATTTTGAACAAAAGTTTGAGTATACCCAGGTTGGAATGTGCTCAAGAGCAGGTATTAAGTCTTTTTAAGATTATTAGGCCATAAAGAGGTCTGCACATTAAATTCTACTGAGTTTTCCTAGAATGCTTTTTCTGACATTAAATTTGTAAATATGTTTTAAAGGTAAAAATATTGTTTGCTATTTCAAAAATAAATTATTTTTAGAAATTTTAAAGACTGTATTTTCATGTTAATAATTTACAGTTAAATCTCACCTCATTATCCTCATCTGTAAAATGGGATAGTAATAAATTTTGGTTGTAAAAATGAGGACTAAATGGTTTTTGCCATTATCACTTAGAACAGTGACTTGCAACGTAAGTTCTTCTTACTCAGCTCCTCACTCCCTGCAGTCACTGGAACTTTAATTTCCCTGGCCTATCAGGGGCCTTCAAGGGTCTCAGGAACACCCCCCAACACACACACACAAAAATAATACCTGAGGATTCAAATGAAAAAGGATGATTTGAAACAAACTGGATATTTTATCCACTCAGATGAGCTCTGGAGACATCCTGACAGCTTCTTTTTATTACTATTATTATTATTATCATACTTTAAGTTTTAGGGTACATGTGTACAATGTTCAGGTTACATATGTATACATGTGCCATGTTAGTGTGCTGCACCCATCAACTCGTCATTTAGCATTAGGTATATCTCCTAATGCTATCCCTCCCCACTCCCCCCACCCCACAACAGTCCCCGGTGTGTGATGTTCCCCTTCCTGTGTCCATGTGTTCTCATTGTTCAGTTCCCACCTATGAGTGAGAACATGCGGTGTTTGGTTTTTTGTCCTTGCGATAGTTTGCTGAGAATGATGGTTTCCAGTTTCATCCATGTCCCTACAAAGGACATGAACTCATCATTTTTTATGGCTGCATAGTATTCCATGGTGTATATGTGCCACATTTTCTTAATCCAGTCTATCATTGTTGGACATTTGGGTTGGTTCCAAGTCTTTGCTATTGTGAATAGTGCCACAATATACATATGTGAGCATGTGTCTTTATAGCAGCATGATTTATAATCCTTTGGGTATATACCCAGTAATGGGATGGCTGGGTCAAATGGTATTTCTAGTTCTAGATCCCTGAGGAATCGCCACACCGACTTCCACAATGGTTGAACTAGTTTACAGTCCCACCAACAGTGTAAAAGTGTTCCTATTTCTCCACATCCTCTCCAGCACCTGTTGTTTCCTGACTTTTTAATGATCGCCATTCTAACTGGTGTGAGATGGTATCTCATTGTGGTTTTGATTTGCATTTATCTGATGGTCAGTGATGATGAGCATTTTTTCATGTGTCTGTTGGCCGCATAAATGTCTTATTTTGAGAAGTGTCTGTTCATATACTTTGCCCACTTTTTGATGGGGTTGTTTTTTTTTCTTGTAAATTTGTTTGAGATTATTGTAGATTCCGGATATTAGCCCTTTGTCAGATGAGTAGGTTGCAAAAATTTTCTCCCATTCTGTAGGTTCCCTGTTCACTCTGATGGTGGTTTCTTTTGCTGTTCAGAAGCTCTTTAATTAGATCCCATTTGTCAATTTTGGCTTTTGTTGCCATTGCTTTTGGTGTTTCAGACATGAAGTCCTTGCCCATGCCTATGTCCTGAATGGTATTGCCTAGGTTTTCTTCTAGGGTTTTTATGGTTTTAGGTCTAACATGTAAGTCTTTAATCCATCTTGAATTAATTTTTGTATAAGGTGTAAGGAAGGGATCCAGTTTCAGCTTTCTACATATGGCTAGCCAGTCTTCCCAGCAACATTTATTAAATAGGGGATCCTTTCCCCATTTCTTGTTTCTGTCAGGTTTGTCAAAGATCAGATAGTTGTAGATATGTGGCATTATTTCTGAGGGCTCTGTTCTCTTCCATTGGTCTATATCTCTGTTTTGGTACCAGTACCATGCTGTTTTGGTTACTGTAGCCTTGTAGTATAGTTTGAAGTCAGGTAGCGTGATACCTCCAGCTTTGTTCTTTTGGCTTAGGATTGACTTGGCAACGTGGGTTCTTTTTTGGTTCCATATGAACTTTAAAGTAGTTTTTTCCAATTCTGTGAAGAAAGTCATGGTAGCTTGATGGGGATGGCATTGAATCTACAAATTACCTTGGGCAGTATGGCCATTTTCACGACATTGATTCCTCCTACCCATGAGCATGGACTGTTCTTCCATTTGTTTGTATCCTCTTTTATTTCATTGAGCAGTGGTTTGTAGTTCTCCTTGAAGAGGTGCTTCACATCCCTTGTAAGTTGGATTCCTAGGTATTTTATTCTCTTTGAAGCAATTGTGAATGGGAGTTCACTCATGATTTGGCTCTCTGTTTGTCTGTTATTGGTGTATAAGAATGCTTGTGATTGTTGCACATTGATTTTGTATCCTGAGACTTTGCTGAAGTTGCTTATCAGCTTAAGGAGATTTTGGGTTGAGACGATGGGGTTTTCTAGATATACAATTATGTCATCTGCAAACAGGGACGATTTGACTTCCTCTTTTCCTAATTGAATGCCCTTTATTTCCTTCTCCTGCCTGACTGCCCTGGCCAGAACTTCCAACACTATGTTGAATAGGAGTGGTGAGAGAGGGCATCCCTGTCTTGTGCCAGTTTTCAAAGGGAATGCTTCCAGTTTTTGCCCATTCAGTATGATATTGGCTGTGGCTTTGTCATAGATAACTCTTATTATTTTGAGATATGTCCCATCAATACCTAATTTATTGAGAGTTTTTAGCATGAAGTGTTGTTGAATTTTGTCAAAGGCCTTTTCTGCATCTATTGAGATAATCATGTGGTTTTTGTCTTTGGTTCTGTTTATATGCTGGATTATGTTTATTGATTTGCATATGTTGAACCAGCCTTGCATCCCAGGGATGAAGCCCACTTGATCATGGTGGATAAGCTTTTTGAGGTGCTGCTGGATTCAGTTTGCCAATATTTTATTGAGGATTGTTGCATCAATGTTCATCAAGAATATTGGTCTAAAATTCTCTTTTTTGGTTGTGTCTCTGACAGGCTTTGGTATCAGGATGATGCTGGCCTCATAAAATGAGTTAGGGAGGATTCCCTCTTTTTCTATTGATTGGAATAGTTTCAGAAGGAATGGTACCAGCTCCTCCCTCATACCTCTGGTAGAATTTGGCTGTGAATCCATCTGGTCCTGGACTTTTATTGGTTGGTAAGCTATTAATTATTGCCTCAATTTCAGAGCCTGTTATTGCTCTATTCAGAGACTCAACTTCTTCCTGGTTTAGTCTTGGGAGGGTATAGGTGTCGAGGAATTTATCCATTTCTTCTAGATTTTCTAGTTTATTTGTGTAGAGGCGTTTATAGCATTCTCTGATGGTAGTCTGTATTTCTGTGGGATCGGTGGTGATATCCCCTTTGTCATTTTTTTTTGCGTCTATTTGATTCTTCTCTCTTTTCTTCATTAGTCTTGCTAGCGGTCTATCAATTTTGTTGATCTCCTCAAAAAACCAGCTCCTGGATTGATTTTTTGAAGGGTTTTTTGTGTCTCTATTTCCTTCAGTTCTGCTCTGATCTTAGTTATTTCTTGCCTTCTGCTAGCTTTTGAATGTGTTTGCTCTTGCTTCTCTAGTTCTTTTAATTGTGATGTTAGGGTGTCAATTTTAGATCTTTCCTGCTTTTTCTTGTGGGCATTTAGTGCTATAAATTTCCCTCTACACACTGCTTTGAATGTGTCCCAGAGATTCTGGTATGTTGTGTCTTTGTTCTCGTTGTTTTCAAAGAACATCTTTATCTCTGCCTTCATTTCGTTATGTACCCAGTAGTCATTCAGGAGCAGGTTGTTCAGTTTCCATGTAGTTGAGCGGTTTTGAGTGATTTCTTAATCCTGAGTTTTAGTTTGATTGCACTGTGGTCTGAGAGACAGTTTGTTATTATTTCTGTTCTTTTACATTTGCTGAGGAGTGCTTTACTTCCTACTATGTGGTCAGTTTTGGAATAGGTGTGGTGTGATGCTGAAAAGAATGTATATTCTGTTGATTTGGGGTGGAGAGTTCTGTAGATGTCTATTAGGTCTGCTTAGTGCAGAGCTGAGTTCAATTCCTGGATATCCTTGTTAACTTTCTGTCTCGTTGATCTGTCTAATGTTGACAGTGGGGTCTTAAAGTCTCCCATTATTATTGTGTGGGAGTCTAAGTCTCTTTGTAGGTCACTAAGGACTTGCTTTATGAATCTGGGTGCTCCTGTATTGGGTGCATATATATTTAGGATAGTTAGCTCTTCTTGTTGAATTGATCCCTTTACCATTATGTAATGGCCTTCTTTGTCTCTTTTGATCTTTCTTGGTTTAAAGTCTGTTTTTTCAGAGACTAGGATTGCAACCCCTGCCTTTTTTTGTTTTCCATTTGCTTGGTAGATCTTCCTCCATCCCTTTATTTTGAGCCTATGTGTGTCTCTGCACATGAGATGGGTTTCCTGAATACAGCACACTGATGGGTCTTGACTCTTTATCCGATTTGCCAGTCTGTGTCTTTTAATTGGAGCATTTAGCCCATTTACACTTAAGGTTACTATTGTTATGTGTGAATTTGATCCTGTCATTATGATGTTAGCTGGTTATTTTGCTTGTTAGTTGATGCAGTTTTGTCCTAGCTTCGATGGTCTTTACAATTTGGCATGTTTTTGCAGTGGCTGGTACCAGCTGTTCCTTTCCATGTTTAGTGCTTCCTTCAGGAGCTCTTTTAGGGCAGGCCTGGTGGTGACAAAATCTCTCAGCATTTGCTTGTCTGTAAAGGATTTTATTTCTCCTCCACTTATGAAGCTTAGTTTCTCTGGATATGAAATTCTGGGTTGAAAATTCTTTTCTTTAAGAATGTTGATTATTGGCCCCCACTTTCTTCTGGCTTGTAGAATTTCTGCCGAGAGATCAGCTGTTAGTCTGATGGGCTTCCCTTTGTGGGTAACCCGACCTTTCTCTCTGGCTGCCCTTAACATATTTTCCTTCATTTCAACTTTGGTGAATCTGACAATTATGTGTCTTGGAGTTGCTCTTCTCAAGGAGTATCTTTGTGACATTCTCTGTATTCCCTGAATTTGAATGTTGGCCTGCCTTGCTAGATTGGGGAAGTTCTCCTGGATAATATCCTAAAGAGTGTTTTCCAACCTGGTTCCATTTTCACTGTCACTTTCAGGTACACCAATCAGACGTAGATTTGGTCTTTTCACATAGTCCCATATTTCTTGGAGGCTTTGTTCGTTCCTTTTTATTCTTTTTTCTCTAAACTTCTCTTCTCACTTCATTTCATTCATTTCGTCTTCCATCACTGATACCCTGTCTTCCAGTTGTTCGCATCAGCTACTGAGGCTTGTACATTCGTCACGTAGTTCTCATGCCATGGTTTTCAGCTCCATCAGGTCCTTTAAGGACTTCTCTGCATTGGTTATTCTAGTTAGCCATTTGTCTAATTTTTTTTCAAGGTTTTTAACTTCTTTACCATTGGTTCAAACTTCCTCCTTTAGCTCGGAGTAGTTTGATCTTCTGAAGCCTTCTTCTCTCAACTCGTCAAAGTCATTCTCCGTCCAGCTTTGTTCCATTGCTGGTGAGGAGCTGTGTTCCTTTGGAGGAGGAGAGGTGCTCTGATTTTTAGAGTTTCCAGTTTTTCTGCTCTGTTTCTTCCCCATCTTTGTGGTTTTATCTACCTTTGGTCTTTGATGATGGTGATGTACAGATGGGTTTTTGGTGTGGATGTCCTTTCTGTTTGTTAGTTTTCCTTCTAACAGTCAGGACCCTCAGCGGCAGGTCTGTTGGAGTTTGCTGGAGGTCCACTCCAGATCCTGTTTTCCTGGGTATCAGCAGCGGTGGCTGCAGAACAGTGGATATTGGTGAACCGCAAATGCTGCTGCCTGATCATTCCTCTGGAAGTTTTGTCTCAGAGGAGTACCTGGCCGTGTGAGGTGTCAGTCCGCCCCTACTGGGGGGTGCCTCCCAGTTAGGCTACTTGGGGGCCAGGGACCCACTTGAGGAGGCAGTCTGCCTGTTCTCAGATCTGAAGCTGTGTGCTGGGAGAACCACTACTCTCTTCAAAGCCGTCAGACAGGGACATTTAAATCTGCAGAGGTTACTGCTGCCTTTTGTCTGTGCCCTGCCCCTGGAGGTGGAGCCTACAGAGGCAGGCAGGCCTCCTTGAGCTGCGGTGGGCTCCACCTAGTTTGAGCTTCCCAGCAGCTTTGTTTACCTACTCAAGCCTCGGCAATGGCGGGCACCCCTCCCCCAGCCTCGCTGCCACCTTGCAGTTTGATTTCGGACTGCTGTGCTAGCAATGAGTGAGGCTCCGTGGGCGTAGGACCCCCCGAGCCATGTGCGGGATATAATCTCCTGGTGTGCCATTTGTTAAGCCTGTTGGAAAAGCGCAGTATTAGGGTGGGAGTGACCCAATTTTCCAGGTGCCGTCTGTCACCCCTTTCTTTGACTAGGAAAGGGAATTCCCTGACCCCTTGCACTTCCTGGGTGAGGCGATGCCTCGCCCTGCTTCAGCTCACACAGGGTGCGCTGCACCCACTGTCCCACACCCACTGTCCGGCACTCCCCAGTGAGATGAACCCGGTATCTCACTTGGAAATGCAGAAATCACCCGTCTTCTGCATCGCTCATGCTGGGAGCCATAGACTGGAGCTGTTCTTATTCGGCCATCTTGGCTCCATCTCAAAAATCTTATATATGTCTTGGCATGTGTATAGAACTCCCTATTAGTGCTATCAAAAATGTAAATGTGCATTCTCTTTGACTCAAGCAATTCCATTTCAAAGAATCCATCCTATAGAAATAATGCACATATCCAAAGAATATGTAAAAATATTAGCTGCAGTATTGTTTGTAGTAACAAAAAGTGATTTGAGGGACAACTTAAATGTTATCAATAAGGCAATTGCTCAATAAATTAATGATATATACCTTTAATGAAATACTATGTAGTAATTAAAAGGAGTGAGGCAGATATGAAAGATCACCAAGACAGAATATTAAATATAAAAAGCAAAATGTAGAATAATAGTAGGATTTCATTTATGTATATAAATGATATATGTATATGTATATGTATATAAACAGAGAAATATCTGGAAGGGGCTTTCACTTTGCATGGCTTGAAGTTTTATATTAAGCATATATGAGTGTGCTATTTGTATAATATTTAAAGATTTTAAACACAGAAGGGAGTAAGGGAAACGGGAAGAATACCACGTGCTTCTGCTATGTCCTGTGTCACAGAAACATCAGCAGCCACAACCAGACAGCCACACCCACCCCGGGAGCAAGAGCTGGGAAGAACCACAGCCCTGCGAGAGAAATCTCACAGGCCAATGGACCAAAAAGGGACATGCAGTTTAATATTTTTCCTGCAAAATGCAATTTTAAATAATGACAATAGATCTATAGAGAGATATAAAATGAAAAATCATTTATACCAAATCTTATGCCTCTTATTCACTCCTTAACTCATATACTAAAAATTCTTCAGCATGCAGGCTCTGTAACAGGCCATGAGTGTGCGTTTTTAAAACAGAAAGCAAAGCAGCCTAGCACATTATAGAAACTGGGAACCAGCCAGTACCACTACTCTTCTCCAATCTACTTAGCTTTCTCAAATGAATTTTAGGGGAAAAGCATATTTTAAGGAACAAAAATAAGTGTTGTTGCAAAAACATGGGGCAAGAAATTCCCCGAAAAGATCTACTACATAAAACTGCCTTAGATATCACAGTTCATGCCAATCAAAAATCTTACAAATAACTAGATGGGTATGTGTATCATCAGTATGCTCTAGCTGTGCTGGCTCATAGCACACGTTCATGAATAAACACATGAGTGAGTGAATGAATGAATGAGTTAAAGCTTAAGGGAACTCCCCTGAGATTTTCAATATTGTCATTTTTCAGTCGTTAAGTTGACGTGGTAGCATAGTGCTAGCTAGTGGTCATATAAACTGTTATGAGTCAGTAGCATTGTGTTATCATACTGATCTAATTGTCTTTACTCTGCTTTTTCTCCACACGTATTTACTTATGAATGCCAAGAGGCAAGGAAAGCTTAAAGCTCAAGAATTTAAATACAGATTCCCCTTTGGGAATGACGGAGATGAGCTTCTCCATTTCTTCCACAATCTCCTTTATAACAAAAATAAAAGATGACAAATTCTTTTGTGGGCAATATAACCATACAAGTAACACACATTACCAATAATCCAAATACTTAAAATGCATTCATTTCTTACACTACAATATTTATGAAAACATAAATGCAGATTCTGAGTAGACTTTTTTTAGCTGATGGAATTTAAATATCTTATGATTTCAAACATGGCAATTTTAAAAAAATAGTCACAAAAGTTGTCCTATTCGTTTGTCACTGACTTTTTTAAGAAAGCTCAACCCGCTCTCCCTCTCCCTCTCCCTCTCCCTCTCCCCACAGTCTCCCTCTCTTTCCACGGTCTCCCTCTCATGCGGAGCCAAAGCTGGACTGTACTGCTGCCATCTCGGCTCACTGCAACCTCCCTGCCTGATTCTCCTGCCTCAGCCTGCCGAGTGCCTGCGATTGCAGGCACGCGCCGCCACGCCTGACTGGTTTTGGTGGAGACGGGGTTTTGCTGTGTTGGCCGGGCCAGTCTCCAGCCCCTAACCGCGAGTGATCTGCCAGCCTCGGCCTCCCGAGGTGCCGGGATTGCAGACGGAGTCTCATTCACTCAGTGCTCAATGGTGCCCAGGCTGGAGTGCAGTGGCCTGATCTCAGCTCGCTACAACCTACACCTCCCAGCCGCCTGCCTTGGCCTCCCAAAGTGCCGAGATTGCAGCCTCTGCCCGGCCGCCACCCCGTCTGGGAAGTGAGGAGTGTCTCTGCCTGGCCAACCATCGTCTGGGATGTGAGGAGCCCCTCTGCCTGGCTGCCCAGTCTGGAAAGTGAGGAGCGTCTCTGCCCGGCCGCCATCCCATCTAGGAAGTGAGGAGCACCTCTTCCCGGCCGTCATCACATCTAGGAAGTGAGGAGCGTCTCTGCCCGGCCGCCCATCGTCTGAGATGTGGGGAGCGCCTCTGCCCCACTGCCCCGTCTGGGATGTGAGGAGCGCCTCTGCCCGGCCACGACCCCGTCTGGGAGGTGAGGAGCGTCTCTGCCCGGCCGCCCCATCTGAGAAGTGAGGAGACCCTCTGCCTGGCAACCACCCCGTCTGAGAAGTGAGGAGCCCCTCCGCCCGGCAGCTGCCCCGTCTGAGAAGTGAGGAGCCTCTCCGCCCGGCAGCCACCCCATCTGGGAAGTGAGGAGCGTCTCCGCCTGGCCAGCCGCCCTGTCCGGGAGGGAGGTGGGGGGGTCAGCCCCCCGCCCGGCCACCCGCCCCATCCGGGAGGGAGGTGGGGGGGTCAGCCCCCCGCCCGGCCAGCCGCCCCGTCTGGGAGGTGAGGGGCACCTCTGCCCGGCCACCCCTACTGGGAAGTGAAGAGCCCCTCTGCCCAGCAAGACGCCCCGTCCGGGAGGGAGGTGGGGGGGTCAGCCCCCTGCCCGGCCAGCTGCCCCATCCGGGAGGGAGGTGGGGGGGTCAGCCCCCCACCCGGCCAGCCGCCCTGTCCAGGAGGGAGGTGGGGGGGTCAGCCCCCCGCCCGGCCAGCCGCCCCATCCGGGAGGTGAGGGGTGCCTCTGCCCGGCCGCCCCTACTGGGAAGTGAGGAGCCCCTCTGCCCGGCCAGCCGCCCTGTCCGGGAGGGAGGTGGGGGGTCAGCCCCCCGCCCGGCCAGCCGCCCCGTCCGGGAGGTGAGGGGCGCCTCTGCCCGGCCGCCCCTACTGGGAAGTGAGGAGCCCCTCTGCCCAGCCACCACCCCGTCTGGGAGGTGTGCCCAACAGCTCATTGAGAACGGGCCAGGATGACAATGGCGGCTTTGTGGAATAGAAAGGCAGGAAAGGTGGGGAAAAGATTGAGAAATCGGATGGTTGCCGTGTCTGTGTAGAAAGAAGTAGACATGGGAGACTTTTCATTTTGTTCTGCACTAAGAAAAATTCTTCTGCCTTGGGATCCTGTTGATCTGTGACCTTACCCCCAACCCTGTGCTCTCTGAAACAAGTGCTGTGTCCACTCAGGGTTAAATGGATTAAGGGCGGTGCAAGATGTGCTTTGTTAAACAGATGCTTGAAGGCAGCATGCTCGTTAAGAGTCATCACCACTCCCTAATCTCAAGTAATCAGGGACACAAACACTGCGGAAGGCCGCAGGGTCCTCTGCCTAGGAAAACCAGATACCTTTGTTCACTTGTTTATCTGCTGACCTTCCCTCCACTATTGTCCCATGACCCTGCCAAATCCCCCTCTGTGAGAAACACCCAAGAATTATCAATAAAAAAAAAATTAAAAAAAAAAAAAAAAAGAAAGCTCAACCCACATCAATGTAGCAACACATGTACTAACTTAAAGAATGTTTCTCAGGAACATGGTACTCATTTGCCTTTCTAACTACTGGAGTTGATTTGAGTGGATGAACAGGGACCATCGTTTTCCATTTTTGAAATACTCTTTTTAACAAGAATAACTCTGTGCCATCACGTTCTTTTCTATTTTTTTTTTAAGTAAAGACAGCAGAAGAGCACCGTCTAATATGGCCTTCCAAACATGAATACTGAGTTCCTTTATGGGAAGGGCTCCCTGTTGACTCTCACTCAAATGAAGAAATCCAAACAAGAGAAAGACAGGAAGATACAACAGTAGGTTCTGCAGGCCTCCTGGGTCCTGAATTTCTTGACAGTGGAACCAAACAACCAGGCAATGGGCAATAAAGATAGAAGCCTGGACTCAGTCCTGCAGCTGCCTTCTGTGTGTCCTGGAGCAAAGAATTTCTCAGCTTTTCCACCAATGAAACAAGGATCAAACTACCTGCCACTCCATACCCAAAACTCAAGTAATGGGAAAGGAATTGAATTAACTGTAATTGATTGCAAAGTACATCAAATTCCTACAACAAAAACTCACACAACTTCCAATTACCACTCGAAAGCACGCTTTAAGCCCAGGGGTGTGTGTGTGTGTGTGTGTGTGTGTGTATGTGTATGTATTTATGTGTGTGTGTGTGTTTAATCAGTTTACGTAAGATCATTAAGGAACTGAGCCCCACAAATGCAGTCTTTAACAAAGGGTTTCAAGTCTGAAAAATGTCCTTGCCAAGAATCCACCTCCAGAGAAGAAACCCAAAACCTACCAGGGAGAGAGCTCTGGGAGTCCCTTCTGAAGTTGGCAGCCCGGTGGCATTTCTGATGTGAATGTCTTTTAGATGCCACTCAGGAATAGAGTATTGACCACTGCTAAGCTGGGATCCACCAGGCATCTGGTGGCCTGAAAATTCTCAATTTATGGTTACAGAGCAGAAGCATGGCAAGCAATGTGGCTCATGTGAAAGGTGAAATCAACTCCAGTGTTTGATGAATTTGATGATATAGGACAAACAAATTAGGCTTATGCTACCCCTCACCAACCCATCGTGGGTCAGGGGTGAGGATGAATGTGTGGTAATGGCCATCCTTTCTACCAGTGTAAACCCGTTGTCACTGTCTTCTCATCCCTTCCCATTAGATTCACTTGGCACACCACCTGCTGCTGGATTCATCTTTCCAAATCAGTGCTTTCATCATCCCTTTCCCCACTCTCCCACCTGGACTCTGATCAAAATCCCAGGTACAGAAGCTGGCATCCCACAGGGAGGAGGTACACGTGGAGAAATGGCCCTGGGAATGAGCCCTAGAGGCCTCCATCATTGCAGCAAGTACTCAGGAATAAGACAGGCTGGATGAAGCATTTCAGAGTATGGGCAGATATCCAACTGTGCTTGCCAATGTAACCCTTCGTGAGCCTAGAGCTGGTGCCTGGATAATACGGGCATCTTACCCTCTAGTGACAGCTCTAGGAAATATCTTCAAGGGAAAGAAAGCATAATTCTAGGCCCAGCCTCTGAAATGCCTCTAAACTACCAAAAAGCTGACAACCAACCATGTTCTTGGCATTATTCTAGTCTTCTCAGTTTCTTCTTGGATTTACTGATCCTATAAGTGTTAAATACTATATCCACTCTACCTTCAATCCACATTGAAATGGATTTCTTTTTTGTTTTTTTGTTTGTTTGTTTGTTTTTGAGACGGAGTCTTGCTCTGTCGCCCAGGCTGGAGGGACGTGGCACCATCTCAGCTCACTGCAACCTCTGCCTCCTGGTTCAAGAGATTCCCCTTCCTCAGCCTCCCAAGTAGCTGGGACTACAGGTGCATGCCACCATTCCCAGTTAATTTTTTGTATTTTAGTAGAGACGGGGTTTCACCATGGTCTGGATGGTCTCAATCTCCTGACCTCGTGATCTGCCCGCCTTGGCCTCCCAAAGTGCTGGGATTACATGAAATGGATTTCAACATGTTTTTGACTTTGGGTCCAGAAATTCTTTTTCATTATAATGTGTATAAAATGCAAACCTACTTATAATTATGACCTTTCAACATTTTACCCCACTCTACTGCAGAATACCCATTTGTATGAATTTATAACATAGAGTACTTGTAACTAATATTTATTTCCACATTTCCAAACAAAGAAAATATCCTACATCCCTTCTCGTATTTCACAAAGGGGCTCTCCACATACCTTATTTAGAAATGAGCATGATTTCACTGAAGTTTTAGAGAGACTCATAGATTTAGTATGGAGCATAGAGACATTAACAAACCATCTCCTTTAATCGCTAGAAGTGATCAAAAGCAAGACATTTTCCTTGCAAGATTTTAAAACAATCTTGGCCAAGGGAGAAAATAATATCCATATAAAGTCAGCAAATACAGCAATCAACTAGTATGTCTACAAGAAAGACGGCAGGAAAAGGAAGAGAGAGGGATGCAAAAAAAGTAGGAAAGAAGTCAACAGCAGAAGGAAAGACAGGCTCAGAGGCAGGAAGAACTGCTTTCAGGGGGCTGAGAGTGAAGAACAGCAAAGCCCTGCCACTAAGGAACCTCGCTCTCTCCCCTTCGCACCATTAGGGCAGAGGTAGGGAGGCGAGCCTGTGCACATTAGCAAGATGCCCTGCGAGATACAGCAATAAATTTAATGTGATCTCTCTACTCAAGAAGTAGGTAGTAAGACAGACAACCTGAACCATCAGGATGGCAGAAGGCAGAACATAAGTGCTTATCAGTAAGGTAGCTGAAAAGGGGGTTCCTTGCTTCCTTTAGAATTAGGGTACAGCATCATCAGCTATGGGAGAGAGAAGAAGCTGGAAGGTTGGTGAGTAAAAATGTGATACATTCATTAATTTAAAAATTAAATTGTGTTCAAAAAATCCAGATGAAAAGAATATATACATATATAAAACTTGCAGGTTGAAATTAACATATGTCAAACCAAATAATTAAATACAAACTATTTTGATGTGCCAAGATATGAGCTCATAGCTCTGGACAATTAATAAGCTATAGTTCATTGACCTGTCTGGGTATTAATGAGCTCATTAAATCTCTTTTTTTTCCCCAACAATCACAGACATTACTTAGAAAATGGTAAATAGAAAGTCAGGTCAACATGAACATTTCTCTGCTAGCTTAAATCTACATTTAAATCATAATTTCATAAATTAAAATGTTAAGTGTATTTATTTTGAGATTGCCTAGAGACATTCAACTTTGCATTTCATAGACTTCTAGTATCATTTTATGTCTCCAGATAGAATATTTATCTGTGTCGAAAACCTTGAAATCATTTAAAGATATACTTTTCCTTTTATTGGCTACATGAAGAATATTTACCTGTGGGAACTATAAGAATTCCAAGCAATTTACTGTCTGGCCAAGAGTATCACATTTGCACATGATTTATTGATGAATAACTCGTGCAAATTTAAGTAGCACTTCATCAATAAATGTTTTTTTTAGCTGTACTGGGACAGAAATAGTGCATCTCTTTTTGGCCTAATGCTACCTGGACTTATCCTAAATAGTTGAAAAACTCAAGACAGTTATCCAGTAATTAGGCTATTATGAGAAACTCTCTTTGCCATGTTCACTGGGAGGGTATTATTGCGGCTGTTCACTCTCTCACTCTGTGCCTGCCCCATTAAATCCTAAGGGAGAAAATTCTTCCTGCTCTTAGCACCAGGATCAGTTATACTCACTGGCAACTGGTTTGTTTTTATTTTAAGACGTTGAGAGACTTTCCCTCCCTGTATTAACTCACTCTATTTCCCCCCTTTTATTGGTTGCTAGAGAACTGAAAGTAAAAGTTGAAGGCCACCTGCACGAGTCAGTTAAGTCTCCATGCCACACATTTGCTACAATAATAATAAGCAATAGCAATGATTATTATTGCCAACAGTTACTACTTTGTGCTAAGCACTTTACATGTGTTGTATTTCATTTAACATTCTTAATAATCCTAATATAAGAGAACTTTTATTTTTCCACCTTCACCAATGAGGAAACTGAAGCTTAGAGGGGTTAGTCAACTCATCCAAGGCTATTGAGTAAGTGGCAGAATTTCAACTCAACTGGTCTTTCCAACGTCAAAGATCGTGCTTCTAATTACTCTGGTATTCTGCTTCCTAGCCCATCTTTTGCTTCTGCCATTTTGACTCTGTTTCCTTTTGCTAATGAAATAAAGATAATGGACCAGGACTCCTGGGAAAAACTCAGGCCTCTCTTAATTCATCTTCTGAAAGGCTATGTCTTGGA
This sequence comes from Homo sapiens, assembly GCF_000001405.40. Lineage (NCBI taxonomy): Eukaryota > Metazoa > Chordata > Mammalia > Primates > Hominidae > Homo > Homo sapiens. Next base: position 5,576 of record NW_003315934.1, on the reverse strand, counting down.
CGGGTGTAGAGGCTCATGCCTGCAATCCCAGCACTTTGGGAGCCAAGGTGGGAAGACTGCTTGAGGCCAGGAGTTCAGGATCAGCCTAGGAAAGAGAAAAGGAAAGAGGGGAGGGGAGGAGAGGGGAGGAGAGGGGAGGAGAGGGGAGGAGAGGAAAGGAGAGGAAAGGAGAGGAAGAAGGGCGGACCATGTCTAAGCCTCAGTCACCCTGTCTAGAGCTGCCCGCCTCAGAGAGAGAGTGGTGTTGGCAAAGTTCTCCACTGCCAGTTTTGTTTTTTTTTCCCCAGATGGCATGCTTTTTAGAAGTCCAGGAGAGGTAATTACAGGAGGCCCTGGGGTTCAGTAAAGATGCAGAGGCACTGTTGCAAGGTTGTCCTAAATGTCCCAAGGCTGGACATGGTCGCCATGTGTGCCAGGCGGGACCTCTGTGTTGAACTATGTGGTTTGTGCACAAATACTCCTGCCAAAGGGGAGTGCAGAAACGTGTGGCCTGAATCTAGCCTGTGCTCCATGCTAGTGTTTCCAAATTCCCGACAGGTTCATCTTCAAGATTCAGGAATATACAATCAAAATTCCTAGGAATTTTCATGAGTTCCCAAAATTATATTATTCTGTATTTTTCCTAACATTTAATTTACATGTCTTTAAATAATAATGAATGCCTGTAATAATAGTGAATCATTTCTATCATAATAAACAGTGAATCATTTTTTGTGGTAGAGTTATGCTAAAAATTTCAGAGGTTTTCTGTAAAAAAAAAAAACTTATGTAATAAATGCATGATTTATTATTATTATGAGCCAAAATATGTGACATAATTATATACTGCAACAACATGTAACAACAATGTGCACCTGATATAGGAATTTCATAATATGAAACACTAAATGAGGGAAACATTAACACAAAATAAATGCCAAATAAAAAACATTTTAAAAATTGACAGATGCCATAAAAATATTTAATATTTATGAAGTATCACGCTTAACATGAAATTTTAAAACTCACAAAATATTAACTGTTCTCTCCAGTAGTCTAGAGGTTTGTTTCATGACAAACAGTCCAGACCAAAAAACAATATTTTTCATTTTGCATTGATGTTGGTAAAATCATTAAGAGCCTGCCAAAAGGATCTCCAAGTTGAGCATTAGGGCTTGTTTTGTATAAGCTCATGTCCTTTCTGAAATACAAAATTTTATTTATTTTACTTTTTGAGATGGAGTTTTGCTCTTGTCACCCAGGCTGGAGTGCAATGGTGCGATCTTGGCTCACTGCAACCTCCGCCTCCTGGGTTCAAGCGATTCTCCTGCCTCAGCCTCCCAAGTAGCTGGGATTACAGGCGTCCACCACCACACTCGGCTAATTTTTTTGTATTTTTAGTAGAGACAGGGTTTCACCATGTTGGCCAGGCTAGTCTTGATCTCCTGACCTCAGATGATCCACCCACCTCGGCCTCCCTAAGTGCTGGGATTACAGGCGTGAGCCACCACGCCCAGCCAAAATACAAATTATTTTTAATTGACAAAGAATAATTGTGTATTTTTGTGGAGTACAATGTGATATTTTGATAAATGTTTACACTGCAATGATTGAATCAAGCAAAGCCACTGGCAAATGCCCTTGGTTGATTTGACCAAAGACATGGAAAAGCAGAAAGAAAACATGAGTTGAGTCAAATGCTTTTTCAAATACTCTGGACGTCGACTTTACACAAGGCCTAGATATCATCAATACTTGCTATCTGACATCAGAAATGAATATTAATCTGGGTTTTGGTGAGTCATTCCCCTTGCCCTCCTGCAAATTCAAGTACTTAAATACATTACGTGGCCAATTATTATGTAAAATATTCTCATATATGCTATCTGACTTGAGAGAAATGAAAATGAACCAATCCACATTATAAACACCCACAATGTCTCAGAAACCACGCTGTATGTTTCAAGTGTGTTTTCTTAAACTTTATAATAGTCCTGTAGTACAGGTATATTAATTTTATTCCAAGTGTTGAGAAAATTAGGGCTCAAAACTGTAACGTTTCAACAGCTACGTTGCTAGTAAGGGAAACAGCCTGGAGTTTAACCAAAGTCCGCTTTAAAAATCCATGTTATTTCTTCCATACCATACTACAAATCATAAAATGGCAGCAAGTCTCAGTGTCAGCTGTTTACCATGGGCACTCCCCAGCCAGGAGAGAGGGTTGGTACCAGGCAGCCTGGTTGCTCCATGAGGATGAATCTTGCATCCTCAGGGTAATAAGACCTTTCCCTGCACACACTTAGATAAAACAACAGGAATGCTTACTACTCTTATTTGAAAGAAACATAAACTTGGAATCAGCATATACATCCTTGGGAAAGTATTTTAAATGAACATTGCAAACATACTACCACAGGCCTTTCTTACCTTTAAATATTTCACCAGCTTCTGAATTTGCCAATATTCTGATGGCAAATCTGCACTTGCTTCCTGACGATGGTCAGGTGGTTCTTCATCTTCCTCACTTTCTGAGGAGCTATCGCTAACAGTTTCCTCAATCTTTTCAGCACTCTTCCTAAGAACAATAACAACACACATACACATGTAAGCTACAGTGTGGAGATGGTTATAATCATATTTTGGCAACATGGGCACAAGCAATGGATCAGATACCAACACCTTCTGAGTTCTAGTAGATCTCTGTTAAGATCTACATGAGGCCAGGTGCAGTGGTTCATGCCTATAATCTCAGTGCTTTGGGAGGCTGAGGTGGGAGGATCACTTGAGGCCAAGAGTTCAATGCTAGCCTGGACAACATAGCAAGACTCTGTCTCTACAAAAACAAATTTTAATTAGCCAGACATGGTGGTGCATGCCTGTAATCCCAGCTACTCAGGAGGCTTGACGCAGGAGGATCGCTTGAGCCCAGAAGTTTGAGCTGCAGTAAACCATTATTACATTATCATACCACTGCACTCCAGCCTGGAAGACAGAGTAAGACTCTCTCTCAAAAATAAAATAAAATAAAATAAAAAGGAACTGCGTGAGGTGAATAAACCTGTCTCTATTGCAGGTGCAATTGCTCTGGGTGCAATAATCATAATAAAGAAAACAGTGAGAAATAAACAAGGGTATTCAGTGAATGTCTTAAGGCTGCACTTTTCAATAAGACTGCCACTCATTGCATGTGGTCGTCTATAGTTACAGATATTTGAACTTATTTATTTAACTAAAATTAAAGAAAATTAAAAATCCAGTTCTCCAATCACACTAGCCACATTCAAGTGCTCAATGGCCCACGTGTCTCGTGGTTACCATACTGGACAGCTCAGATATTGACTATTTCTATTATTCCAGTAAGTTCAACTGGGCAGTGCCACAAGGCCCTAAAGTGAAAGAGTCTCTTTTACCAAAGAGAGTCAATATTCAGCACATCCCTCCATAATGCCTACACTGAAGTACTTGCAAGGGCACAAGGTGCCAAAGAACAGCAATAACATGAACATAATCAGGTTCAGGACCAAAGAGTTAGCCACCAACTCTGAGAGACATTACCATGCAAAGTGTTGAGTTCCACAGAAGTACACCACATTCTATGGTTTGATGCATGGACAACAGTATTACAAGAGCCTTCTGGAATCCAATATATGCCCTATGTCCCTGCAGAGGTCCCTCATGCACATGCACACTCATCACACCAACTTGTCTCCACCTCCCACTGCCGGATGCCAGGTTACTGCCATTGGGTCACCAAATCCACAGTGATGTCTCAGGAACTACTCATCCATCACTCACATGTGGAGAGGTGCTGAACCCAGGATATTTATCCTGATATTGTTTCCCACATATTCCTCATCTCACAGGACAGAAGCAAACTTTTAAATCTTCTAGCTATTTTTAATATTAAATAATACCAACAGCAGCCACCATTTTTGTGTAGGTTGGTCTATTTTGTCCTAGGTACTTTTTTTTTTTTTGTGAGATGGAGTCTCACTCTGTCGCCCTGGCTGGAGTGCACTGGCACAATCTTGGCTCACTGCAACCTCCGCCACCCGGGTTCAAGTGATTCTCCTGCCTCAGCCTCCTGAGTAGCTGGGCTTATAGGCATGCGCCACCACGTCTGGCTAATTTTTTTATTTTTAGTAGTGACGGGGTTTCACCATGTTGGTCAGGCTGGTCTCAAACTCTTGACCTCGTGATCCTCCCGTCTCGGCCTCCCAAAGTGCTGGTATTACAGGTATGAGCCACTGCGCCCGGCCTGTCCCAGGCACTTTATATTTATTATTTCTAAACCTCACAACCACTTTGCAAAGCAGGCTCTATCATCCACATTCTACAAGCAAGGAAACCTCAGAGAAATTAAGAGGAGAAAAAAAACCATTCACATTGAAGGATCCAAAATTACTTAAAATGTGGCCCTTGCCAATCACATATTAAGGTGTCCTTAAATATCAAAGTCATAAAGTCAATGACCATTATAGATCACACAAGTCCACAATACTTTTCCTCTAATTCTGAAATTGAAAAATCTCTGAAAACTGATTTTTTTCCCCACTGGACTTAACTTGTTGCTAAAGACTTATATGAATTGATACTAGACTATTTATGGTCTTTATTCCTCTCATTCAGTGTGAATATTCATGTTTCACTACAGAAATGCTCATGTTTTTGATTATAGGGTATTGGCTCACACTCCAATAGAGGTTATCATATAATATATATTATATGAATTTCATTACCCTTTTTTAAAGTGAGTTTTTCAGAACCGCATGCATTTGGCCACGAGAGTTCAGGACAACAGACTGTGGGTTAAATGTCTCATTTTAATTCACTCAACAATCTATGAGGTTGTTATTACTCTCATTATAGAGACAATGAGTTAAAAATAATTTGGGCCGGGTGTGGTGGGCTCACACCTGTAATCCCAGCACTTTGGGAGGCCGAGGTGAGTGGATTGCTTGAGGTTGGGAGTTTGAGACCAGCCTAGCCAACATGGTGAAACCCTGTCTCTACTAAAAATACAAAAATTAGCTGGGTGTAGTGGCATGTGCCTCTTGTCCCAGTTACTCAGGAGGCTGAGGTAGGAAAATCACTTGAACCTGGGAGGCAGAGGTTGCCGTGAGGCAAAATTGCGCTACCGCACTCCAGCCTGGATGACAGAGCAAGATTCTGTAATAATAACAATTTGAACAAAGCTCCATGGTTAGTAAAGTGGCTGTGTTAAAACAAATATTCGTAATGAGAGCTGTTCATCTTGGTTCCTAGAGGAGCTGGGGTAGTCATTTAACTTGTGCGTGCCTCGGTTTCCTCACCTGCAAATTGAGGATGATAACAGCAGTTAGTATGTAAAAAGCTTATAACAGTGCCTGGCATACAAAAAGCATGAAATACGTGTTAGATAGTTCTGTATTATCATGCATATTCATTCACCACACATGCATGGAGGGCCTGCTGGCTGCCAGGTATCAAGGGAATGCTATTGAAGAATACTGTATTTCAGTATCTTTGTTAAACTCCAAGGAAAAGGTGTGGTTTTGTCTTTGAAGATCTGATCTGTTTTCATCTTAAGGACCACATAAATTAAGTAACTGGTTAGG